>NC_000013.11:82840484-82993325 GCF_000001405.40 Homo sapiens | reverse complement strand
TGTTTTGAAATATTTGTAACTGTTTGCTCTGAAAATGTAAGAATAATTTTTATGGATCAATGTCATGAAAATGTGTGCAAAAAATTATTTACATTATTTAAATAACAGAAAAATATTTAAATTATTTTTAGTTTTTCATATTAAACTCCTTTTGAATATATATTCTAGTAAATAAATTTGTTAATAGTTAATAAAAGTTAGTTTTTACATAAAGTAATGATGACTCCTAAACATTCTTACTTTAAAATGTCCATCAGTTTTTCTTCATTTACTTACTTCTTCTGAAGCATCTATTAGTAAAGTGACACGGTCTGTGAAAAAAATCACCTAGGAAAAGAGCAATGTTAAGTGATGTTAGGATGTAGTCACCTATGGTCCAGTCAACAAAGAATATCTGCAAAACTAAATGTGCACATCAACTACTCAGAAAGCATTTACAAATGCTTCCTAAAGTCCATTCTTTCAGGATTCTAAATAGCCAATATCTACATAGTCAAATTAACAAATAAATTTGATATTTTTATTTTAAGATTGTATTACAATTGTAAAGAGAAACTCAGTGCTTCTGGATCTTTATAAACTTCAAATTATTTTATTTCATTAAGGCAAGTACACTTTGTGAAGAAAATATGTAAACATTCAGGTTAAACAAAATTTGAAAAACACATGCACAATCATTTTATAGAGAGATTTTCTTACATAAATTATTCAGATATGATAGCATCACAAAGAGGAAATATGTTTATATTTGGTATTTTCTGGGTAAGAGAGCTAGTGGCATTTAGTCACTAATTCTAACTTGTAGAGTTTTCTGTTTTCTAATACCTTCAAGACAAACAAATTAGATTTTAAAAAAGAAAATAGCTTTTCTTGCACATGTCTGTTCTCACATACTAACTTTCCATTTGTCTTCTTTTTCTTTATTTTTAAAACAAATATGATTATTTGCTCAGCTATTTTCTCCAAAATGAAAGTTTACCTTGCAATAAATTTTAAATGTACTGTATTTTAATTTTTCTTCTTTTAAAAATAAATAGATAGACTATTGGGGACTTTCTTTTAAAATCTTGACATTATGAAGTGTCTATAAAATTGCTAATACCACAAAAGCTTTTGAATTTCATGAAAGCATTTTATCAAATGCCTATGAGAGACTGTGCCACCATTGGTAAATAAGGATATAACAATGTCAAGAATTAAGAATTTCTTATTCTTAATGAGAAAAAAAGGATATTCATGAGCACATGAGTTATTATAGTTGAAGATAAATTATGTGTAACTTATAAATGGTATAATAAATTGTGTAATGCTATCTTAAAACGGCATACTTTGTCTTTTTGCAGAAAACATAATATTAAATTTATGATACTAAATAAATAAACAAGTAACATTTAAGATAAACCCAAACAATATAAGGTTATTGTGAGAATTGCATACGTACAATACAGTATTGACACTAACTTGTGTTCAGTGGACCAATTTATTTGGAAAGCCATGTGCGAATTCAGAGGTTATCTATTCAAGAATGAATGCTATGTGTAACAGTAATTATTTAGTCATCTAAGGGAAAGCGGATTGCATGATCTCCAGTTTCCTTATCTTTCATATCAATTGTATCTCTCGTAATCAACTCACATCTTATATGGGAGAAACATAGAATCGTATTTAATATCACATGAGAATAAATATTTAACTTAAAGGCATTGACACGAATTACTAAGGAAGGTATAACTCCTTAAATAGGAAGAACAAGAAGTTTCAGAAAAATATGTTACCATGGAATCTGCTTAAAGCATTCAGCATTCTATAAAGAAAAAGAAACTGAAGAAAATATACACACACGGTTTCAGATGGAAGCATGGAGGGTGTCGAATTATATTGCAAATGGGAACTTTGAAAATACAGAGAAATTCTGAAATTCTACAGAATTTTTTTAAAGAAATATGAAGAAAAATGTTAAAAAGCTTGAGAAAAAGAGAAAAGGCAGATATTACTGATCTGTGTGTTTCATCACAAAAATCATTACTTGAGACAAATGAACAAATAAGATGCAAGCACTTGTAGAAAAAATGTTGTTTTAGGATCACACATCCCAAATATGAATGCAGGTATCATGGTCGTGCCTGGATTATTGGGACTTAGATTGTCACTGAAAATAAAATGTATCAAAGGTTCATGTTTGCCCTAACTTAAATTCAATAAATATGAGATTTGATGTGATCTTTCAAAGGGGAGAGAAATTCTTCATTTTACTCTATATCTTTTATGGTATCCCAAATACAAACTTGGAGCAGAAAATTTTGACCCACTTCATCGTAAAGATAAGTCCTTTGTGATAGCTATTTCAGTGGCAATCTATTGTGTTTCTAGCAATGTACTTTACGCATTCTTTATCTAAATAATGTTTCCTCAATTCAAATGACATAGAAATATCTAGATATTTTGTATTAGTATTATTTCAGTCTTTGAGATGGCTGGCAGGAACCTGAGGCAGCCAGAGTGCCTCATGTGTTTAACCTATTGGGACATAAATATACCATCCTGTTCTCTGTGTGCAGGAAAGTGAAAAGTTAGAAAATAATGATATAATTCTCTCAACTGTCCTATCGAGTAGTTATTGTTGTTATCTTCATCTTGTTTATATTTGTGCTGTTGTTGTTGTTGAGACAGGGTCTTGCTCTGTTGCCCAGGCTGGAGTGCAGTGGCATGATCTTGGCTCACTGCAACCTCTGCCTACTGGGTTCAAGTGACTCTCATGCCTCAGCCTCCCTAACAGCTGGGATTACAGGTGCCCACCACGACACCCGGCTAATTTTGGTATTTTTAGTAGAGTCGGGGTTTCCATGTTGATTAGGCTGGTCTCGAACTCCTGACCTCAGGTGATCTGCCCACCTCGGCCTCCCAAAGTGCTGGGATTACAGGCTTGTGGCACTGTTCCCGGCCAGTAATTTTGTTTAAAGAAGTTAAGTAGCATTCTCTAAGTCATGTGGTTAGTGAATCGTGTACACTCTGATTCTATCTGACTTAATCTTGGCCTTCCAAGGATTGGTTATAGGCTATGAGTACAGAAAACAGAGCCTCTCTAAGTACATTTGTCCTCTATTTCCAAGTTTATTTGTATCTACTCTCTCCTTTCTCAATTCTTATTAGATAAATGTAGTTATGGATGTTTTCATAATTCATATCCACTACTTTATTTGTAATTCTTGTTTCATAAAGTGAAATGTAGAAAAATGATCATAGACTTCAGAATCAAAAAAAAAAAAATCTGGATTGCAGCCCAAATTGTAAATGAGGATTACTGCAAAACTTTTATGTGGATTAAATTTATACCTACAAATTTTGTAGAACTGTAGTTCACCCTAATTAATGGAACTTGCAAAATTTCACACTATAGTGGATAGTCTAGTTTAAATATGTTATGTCAATAAAGATGGCTCAGAACAGAGTTATCAGACAGAAATCCCTATAAGAATCTTCATTGGCATCCATTGTCCCTGATCAACCCTGTAACTCCACCAAGAGCCAGTCTTCTCCCCTACCACTATGATTTAAACTTACTATTGTTTTCAGCTACATGACCACAGATCCTGCTCTTTCTAAGTGAACATAGTTGCTCTCAATTTTTACTTGGCTGATGTCTTCTCCAATTCTATATGAAACAAGCCCTACTCTGTTTTCTTCTTGTTTGAATTCCCTTTTGTTTTCCTTGAAATGAATTTATTTTTGAGGCTATCCTCTCTTTGTCTGTATATTTTGCCACCAAACTGAGCCTTTGAAGGTATTCAATTATTGTTCCCCAACAGCTAATATTACATCTGCCTTACAGTGGATTCCAAAAGAAATAACTGCTTCACAAATCAAAAAAATAAAGAAGGCATGCAAAGTTGAATGCATGGAGTCAAATATTGGAGAGCCAGAAATTTGTAACACAATATCTTTTAAAAATGCATTAAAGGCCAGGCGCGGTAGCTGACGCCTGCAATCCCAGCATTTGGGGAGGCCAAGGCAGGCGGATCACGAGGTCAGGAGATCGAGACCATCCTGGCTAACACAATGAAACCCCGTCTCTACTAAAAATACAAAAAATTAACCGGGTGTGGTGGCAGGCACCTGTAGTCCCAGCTACTGGGGAGGCTGAGGCAGAAGAATGGCGTAAACCTGGGAGGAGGAGCTTCCAGTGAGCTGAGATAGCACCACTGCACTCCAGCCTGGGCAACAGAGTGAGACTCTGTCTCAAAAAAAAATAAATGCATTAAAATATATCCTAGGGAATTTAAATTGGTTAAACACCGTTACTGTGTGGCCTGAAAGTGATTTTGTACCCTGGCAGTAGACTACCTGGTAGTAGATACTGCAACCAATTCCATTATTCACTTATGTGCTGAGGTCATGTATTTTGAATTATAAGCACTGTATCCAGATTGTATGAAGAGTTACATTAGGTAGGGAAATGGATGACTGTCAAAATCATATTACTAGTTTCCATGCAAAGATATTATGAATGGTTTTCTGAATTTATTGAAGAACATGCATTAGAAAGATAATCAAATAATAACTTTCACTCAGATAACTCTCCTTGTATTTGACCCCAGTCAGTGCATACGTTATATTATTCTATAATATGAAAGAGAGTATTCACTAGTTCTTATCGAAATTTTCCACATAAGTTGCTGGGTGATAGTGAACTCTGAAATCTAGGAAAGGTGTGGAAGTAAAATGCATATTTTCTATAAGGCACACAAAAGCATTTTTTGTGCATCATAGTTTCTCCAAATTGACAAATCAACAACAATGACCTCTTGGACAAGAATGATCTACAGTAGGATATGCAGCTGCTGCGACGCTATTATAATAACAAAATTAAGCAACACCCTTGAATCTTACTTACACAGCTCATTCATTTAGGCAGGTATCCTCTAATTTCAGACTTAGAAAAACATTGTACTCACAGGATTTTCCTTTTCTTTGAGTAGGAAATAATTTATAATAGCTTTTATTTCAGATACCAATACAGTAATACAGTTTCCTTGTCTGGCATTTTACTAGCTTTCTAGACATGCCTCTGGCAAGGCATCACATAAAGGGATGAAGTCTGTAAACTCAGTGTTTGAGAGACTGGTAAACCCTGATTATAGCATTGTTTATGTGGCTTCTGAAGCCCTCTGAGAACTAGTCTCAGTTTTAGTATATTCTGCCCACTCATGATATCTATGACCACTAGGACGAGGGTCCTCCCTCTTGAAAGATCCAGAAAATCATGCCAGCATACATTCAATAAATATTTGTCAAGTGTCTGCTATGCCACAGTTTTGAAATAAAACAGCAAAAAGTGAAGACAAAGATCTGTAACACCCATGAGCTTAACTGTAGTTGGAAAAGGCAGAAAGCAAACTATTTTTTTAAAGGAGATTTTTTCTGATTTTCAGTCCAATATGTAAAGAGTTGGGAAGCCATACTCCTATATTCACTACTGGAAAAAAATCTGAACAAACTGAAATTCAACAACTCTTCTTAGGTTTGTGAAATAATTGGAGTCACCAGGCAAACCATTGCCATGAAAACTGAAGAGAAAGGCCAGTACGAAGAATCACAGCTTACTGAGAGTAGATGTCCAGAAGCAGAAACCAGCCAATGGCATCAGTGCTGTAGGAATACTTCAACTGAGAGGGCAAATTGCTGAAGGCTCATTGTGAACTAGCTTGGGAATTAAATACTCAGTGACCCAGTCACAAGGGCTCACTAGTTTTAGTTCCAGGAACCCCATCAGGTTTCTAAGATGAACACCAGAGAAAAATCTCATGCTTCGGGTATTTTGAAATTGCTCAGTATATTTTTTCTCTTTAACAAAGGGCTTCCCTCAGAAGAAACAATTTTATCAAAATCTAGTCAATATGTGTTTTATCAGAACCTAATTGAGTAGAGGAAGGAAAATAACTCAACTCCAGATCCTTCTAGTCTTCATTTTCACATAAAGATGGAAAACAAAATGAAAAGCTGAGAAGGACATTTGAAAATCACAGCCAGAGGCTCACTAAATCAGAGACCTAATCACAGGATTGCAGAGTATCACTCTTCCGTACACACCTTACCACCACACCAACTATCACAGAGAAAAAGAGACAAGGTGAGTTAGATAGGCAGTAATAAATATGATAGAGGTTGATATCCTATATAGAATGGTTAGAAATGGTAATGGATGACCTTCATTAAATAAAAAATAATAAGCTAACAAGAAAGTTGAAGAAATTGAGAAGTGAGCCATGTGGCTGCCAGAAAGCAAATGTTCCCAGCATTAAAAAAAAAAAAGTGTAAATTATCTGAGGATTGAGTTGCTTGGTGTGTTCAAGGAAGAACAAATATGACACTATCACTATAATGAAGAGAATATGGTAAAAGTTAAGATCAGAGCCATGATTAGAGGCAATCATAAAAGATGTTATAGGTCATCATAAGGAATTCAGCTTTTAATTGCAATGAGCTAAAAAGTTATAAAATGACTTTTAATAGAGCAGTTATATGACCTTACCACTCTGGATACAGTACAGAAATTAATTCATAGGGGCAAGCTGAAACAAAAATCTAGTCAAAAGATCACACAATATATATCTTTTACTACTTAGATCAGATGTTAAGGAGTTTTTTTTTTCTGAGAAACAGCATCATTTATTCAAGTGCTTATAGAGAATAAATAAATAAATAAAATGTATTATTGTCATTAATATATATGCATACTTTCATGTACATGCATATCTAGCAAGAAAAACACAAACCTGACAACATTTACCACTAAATAGATATGAAAAATTTCTCACAAAATGTTCTTGTGTGCTATAAAGACCTCCTCTAAAATGATTAGGATATAAGATGATTATTATGTTTGCTTTCCATTATCTTTCCTATTAAGGGATTCTGCTTTTTTTCTAACACAAACTCTAATGGCAGACAATTTACTAGTTTGCTTTGATCATAAAATTTCAGATTGCTATAGGACCTTAAATATCATCTAGTGTTTGTCACACTTCATTGATCATTGGAGTCACCTGGAACAAATAAAAGCACAAACTTCCTAGCTCCTGGAGTTTGTGACAGTAGTTGAGGGTAAAGACTGAATCCCCCTTTTTAAATGTGCCTTAAGATGATTGCAATGATCACTCAGATTTGACAACCATTCATTATAGAGTTGAGTACTCTCTGCTTCATCTGTGCTGATTGTTATTTGGTTTGTGATTGAATTATTTACACAGTGATTGAATTCTTTTGGTGATAGAGAGCTTTTATCTTAATAAGATGCTTTTTCTTTTGGGATATCTCTTTTGTGTGTGTTTGTTTTTAATTTTAAATATTAAACCCTTTGCAGAATATTTATCATTTTAGTCATTTTTATATATCTCTTGCCACTTCTCATATTCAATAAAACTTAAATTCCAAATTGATTCTAAGCTATATTTTGAATTTGTCCAATATGCTTTATTTCCTCTGCTCCACCCTATATCCGGCCCACATCTTTGCCTCGTGTACCACAATATTACCCTTATATTTTCTTTTAAAATGTTACATCTATAATCCCATATTCACATTTACTCAATTCATTCTCCATACAACATTTAAAATGATCTATCAGTGATCCAAATAGTTGTGTGCATTATACAGACTCCTCTCTCCTGCAAGCATGCTTTCTCTCTCCATACCTATCTGCTACTATTTTCATTCATTTCTTCTCTCTCTGGCTTATGTTGATTATCTTGGCAAATAATATTTTCTCAGCTAAGATCACTCTCCTCTTCCTTTTAACTTGTTTTGCAAGCATTATATCTTCAATATTAATGTTAATACCTTAGGGAATTATTTCTTTATTATAAAGGGTAGTGGAGTTCCCCTTATTACTTAGTGTTCTAAATGTTCTTGTTCTTTTTTCTTCTGCTCCTTCTCCTTGTTGTTGTTTCTCTTCCTCCTCTTCATTTTTCTCTTCTCCTCTTTCTTCTTCTCCTCCTCCACTATACCTAAAGCTAAATAAGGAGTGAAACTGCATAATTTTGCATTATTACAGATTTCCTCAAAACACTAGGAACAGTCCTTGCCACATATTTTGTATTTAATAACAAATTGGTACGTCCCAAGAGATTCTAGAGAAAAAAACCTTAAGGGAGAAGATGATGTATTATTCATGGTCCAGTCATACAATAAAAAACACATAATGATTAGAACATTAAATTTTTAATCTAAAATTTATTTACTAGTTAATAGCAGATTAAATATTAGGGAAAATGAAGTCATAAAACAAGTGTAGTGTATATTGAGAAAAATTACTGCCTTTATTGCTGAGGCAGAGTACAAAGGAAAGAACAAATTTGGAAGATCCCCAATCCAAGGTTGAAATTTAGATCTGACAATAGTATACGAGATTGTCTTCTACTGCATGGCAGAGAAATCGTGTATGACGTCGCAAGTCAGGATTGGCAAAGAACAAATGTCTATGTAGATGTTAAAACACTTGCTGATAAGCTGACTGAGGTGAGAGGAGGAACTCACTGAGAAACTTCCGCTGGGGGTACTATAGAAACTTGCTGGATATCCTCATTCTAGAACAACTGCAAAACTCACTTGGAAGCTGTCCAAGTAGAATCTGCTACAACTTGGTTAGCATATATAAATAAAAATATATATTACAACAAAAAATAATTATAACCAAGCTTAGGCAGGTCCAGAACTTACTGTAAGTTTCATGTTCAAGTGGCTCAGATGCTTTCAACACTGATTGCTATCGTATTAGATCCTTTCCCACAATTTATGGCTACAGTTCCCTGGGGTGTTCCTTATGACTAATTGGCTAAAAGAAACCCACTCAAAATGGCTGCTTTACATATATGTTAACCTGATATGCTGTTACCACCCAAAAGTGGACAACAGTGGCACTACAGCCTCACACAAGAATGTCCCTAAAGAATAACGGAAAGACAAAATTATCCCAGTGGGCAGAACTTGAAGCAGTGCATTTAGTTGTCCAATACGTCTAGAATGACAGAGGCCAACAGTACAGATCTACATTATTTATGAAAAGTTGATAATGATTTGATTGAATGTTCAGGACTTTGGAAAAAATGGGATTGGAAGATTGGTGACATAGAAATCTGTAAAAGTATATGGATGGACATTTTAGAATTGGCACAAACTGTGAATATATTTGCTCCAGTGTGAGTATCCACCAAAGGACATTCCCAGGAGATAAGATTCTAAAGTATCAGGTGGGTAAAATAAAATGCTCTATGGATATTAGTTGGCTTCTTTTCCAAGCCCATCCAATGCTATCTCAATAGGCCCATGAACAAAATGATCATTGTGGTAAAAATAGAGGCTACACATTAACTCAACAACTGAAATTTCTGTTAGTAAAGCTGACTTGACTAACAATAATTCTGAGTGCCTAATACCTTATTATGAAGGCTAACAGTCAGGACTAGATTTAACATCATTGCCTTGGTAGGCTAAATATCCTCATAGCTGTTGATTAGATTGGACCTCTTCCATCATGGAAGGGCAGAGATTTGCTCTTATTTAAATAGGTATATTTGGGATATGAATTGCCTTCTTCCCACATAATACTTCACCAACACCACCTGTTTTTAGTTGGTTCAGGCTGCTATTACAAAGTACTATAGACTAGGTAGCTCACAAACAACAGAAATTTATTTCTCACAGTTACGGAGGCTGGGAAATTCAGAATCAAGTTGCTGGCAGATGTGATGCTTGATAAGGGCCCATTTCCTGGTTTGTATATAGCACCTTCTTACTGTGTCCTTACATGGCAGAAATGGTAAATTAACTCCTTTGAGTCTGTTTTAAAAGGGCACTACGTCCATTCATGAGCGCTCTGCTCTTGTGACCTAAGTACCTCTCCTAAGCTCCACTGCCTAATATTGTCACATTGTGGATTAGAATTTCAAAGTATGAATTGGGGGTTGGAGGAAAGGGACAAAAACATTCAGATCATAGCATCATCATTCATGATCCTCCAGAATACCTTACCCACATTTACGATATTCCTCATGAGAACATTGATGAAGAAACCCATTTCTCAGCAAAGGAAGAGCAGAGATTGGTTCATGCTCATGAAATTAACTTCTTATAACATGTAGCCCAGCACACTTTTGGATGAGTATTGGCTGAGTTAATTTAAAAATAAAATGGTTTATTGAAGATTTAGTAATGGTACCCACTGGGAGATAACATTCTAAAGGGATATAATATGTGACTCGAATTATTTTAATCAGAAGACATTATAGTTGTTTGTCTTCCCAGAAGTCACTATGCATGAGTTCAGAAGTCAAGTAGTGGAAGTAAGGGAGACTATGCTCACTCTTATTTCTAAATATCTTCTCTGAATATTTGCATTCTCTCTTGGAAACCTTGGGCTTTGCCTGTTTTTAGAGGTGTTAGTTCCTAAGGCATGGATGCTTCAACTAGGAGATGCAACACTCATTCAATTGTAGAATGAGACTGCCTTTAGGCAATTTGGGAATCCTTTTGCCATTGAACAAACAGGCAGAAAAGAAGGGTTACTCTGCCAGCTGAAGTTATTAATTCCAATTACCAAGGAGATATTTTGTTGCTGCTACACTGTGAAGGCAAGGAGGACTGAATCTAAAATCTCCAAGTGCTTTTTAATACTTCTGCACACAGTAGTACAGGTTAATGAAAAACTGTGACAATCAAAATAATGACTAAATTAAAATAAATAAAAAGATGGTTGTAAACTTAGACCCTCAATAAGAGTTTTACGTCGCAAGTTTTACATTACTAAACAAGACAAAAACTTTCAGCTGAGGTACCGGCTACATGCAGGGAATATACAGAATGCATAGTGGAAGAAGAAAGCTGTAGATATCAGCTACTACATTGTGACCAATTAGAGAGATAATAACCATAATAGCCGTGCATATTTTCTCTTCTCTCCCCCGCTGCACTCTGTGTGTGTGTGTGTGTGTGTGTGTGTGTGTCTGTGTGTGTGTTTGTGTGTGTGTATCTCTTTTATATACATGAAGGAAGAGGGTAGCAAGGAAGGAAGCAAAGGTAAACAATAAATATTTATCTTCTTCTTTCCTAAAATTGTTAGAACTACACATCTGCTTTTGAGGAGGTAAAAAAGGGGTTTCTTCCTCTTCTACCCATTGTGCCTCAATCTCTAGTCTCCTTTAGGTCAAAGCTTTCTTCAGTGCTAGTGCCCTTCATAGCACAATTAATCCCATGCTAGCCTCCTTTCTGGGTGATGTTTTGTCAGTGATACACTACTTTAGGGTATGGCTTCATCCAATTCCAGCTCCTGCAGTGGGTAAGTTCTCTGGTTCCTGGTTTCTGAAGCACTTAGTTTTAGTAGTATCCTTAGGACATCCTACAATGGCTTCACAGTAGCATGTCACCAGTGAGGCCCCTTCCTCCCTGCAAATGTTCCCTTTTGGCTCTTTTATAGGTGGCATTGTAATGCATTCTAAGGTGACAATCACCCCTGTGAATGGCTTCCCCCGTTACCAGAGATAATATATTTTCAGAGACATCCCTAACATTTTCAACATCCAGCAAGCCACAGAAATACCTCCCTTCAGCCTTTGGTTGGTGTGGCAGGGAGGGGGAGCACTTCTTTAAGCAACCTGTTACAGTTCTATTGTTAATGGCTGCCTCTTACATCTTCTTTTTTTAAATCTATCTATCTATCTATCTATCTATCTATCTATCTATCTATCTATCTATCTATCATCTATCTATCATCTATCTATCTATCTATCTATCTATCTATCTAATCTCCCTATATCTGTCTTAGTTAATTTTGTGCTGCTATAACAGAATTTCTGTGACTGGGCAATTTATAAAGAACAAATGTATTTCTCACAGTTCTGGAGGCTGAGAAGTCCAAGATCAAAGTGCAGGCAGGGTTGGGTGTCTGGTGAGGGCCTGGTCTCTAGTTCCACAAATGACACCTTGAATGCTGCATCCTCTGGGAGGGAGAAACACTGTTTCTCACATGGCAGAACCCACCACTCCCATTAGTTCATTTTCATAGTGGCATCAGTCTATTCATGAAGGCAGAACCCCCATAACCTAGTCACCTCTTAAAGGTCCCACCCTTCAAAACTACTAACATAGCAATGAAATTTCAATGTCAGTTTTGGAGGGAACAAGCTTTCAACCTAATATAGTACTATCTATCTCTCTTTTTAGTTTTCTTTAAGTCTTACCAAATTTTGTGTCATCAATCCCTCATTAATAATTCTTTACATCAAAGGTTATGTACTCAAATTGTTGTGTCATTTATGTCAACTGATTTGAAGGCTTTCATTCAAGAGACTTTGGATCTTTGAATTATCTTAGATCTAGAAATAGAGAAGATATGGTGACTCTCTACTGTGGCAACAGGGTTTTTATTACCAGATTGAAACTATTGTTTTTGTTATTTTCTAATGTTAATCAAGCTGTATTCCAGTAAGACATCCATCTATTTCTATCTTAGGAATACCATAATCAATTAATTAAGCAGGACCAAAGTTCCTTACTGGGTAAGTCTTTATGCATACCAGTACATCCTTGAGCTGCCCCTTATGATTAATACATCAACCTTGTCTTGGCAGTTAAGTGCTACGACTTGGCCTCTGGTACCTCTGGATCCAATCTTCCATATTGAAATCAGAAAGAACAAATCAGTTGCAGTATCTCCCATAGTCACAAATAACCTACAAAGGAAAGCAATCACGGGGCTTTTCATGGATTCAGGTGTTTCCCTCATGAGTACATTTCTCACTACCTTAATAAAGGGGGTGACTGCTAGACTTTCTCTTAAACATACAAATTGGGACTACATGTTGCACATGCTCATTCTACTTCAACATACCTATCTACTAAAGCCCCAGGATTCCCTCTTCCACATCGTACCAGGGAAGCTCTAACATATAAATTCTCATGAAACACTGTTTTTTCCAAGTTTTTCTTAAATAAAAAATCCATGGTTAAATGTAGCTCCAGGTCCACAATCTACCTACCACATTATATCCAGAATCTGTAGTAACTATGCCTGTATTAATGAATTCAGTCCAATTTAGTGTTTGTATCCCAATGTCCTTTGTCTGAAACCCTTAGAATCAAGTTCAAGAATGGGCTAGGCATGGTAAATCCTTAGAATTGGTAGGCTTGAACAATATCAGTAAGCTCTCGGCTATATAGGTATCCCCAGTTGTCTAATACTTATCCCTGGAATAATTTAGAGCAGGCACAATATTGATTTGGTGTGTGAGAGTTAAATAAAGGAGGTGGTTGGGGGTATGGACTTTGGATTTCTTGGTTTGCATGTAAAAGATGTGCTGGCAGACAAGTTGATTACTGTCTCTAGGAACTAGCTAACCACGAGAGGAACAGTATTTCTAGCGTTAGCCAGACCCTGAGATGTCAAAGCATCATAAATTACAGAAAATCACAAATAATTCATACAATAGACAGGGACTGAAAAGCAGAAAACTTCCCACTGGGATGCCGAAGGAATGCACTGATTCTGGCTGGTCTCCAATTGAACCCACTGAAAAGCCACCTTTGTGGTGCTGTTGAAACTAATTATGAAGCCACCTTCTGACATGCTGGTGGGACTCCCTGGGAAGCCACCCATGGAAGTATAACTGAAACATGCTGAGAAACTACCTGCTAAGATGCTTGCAAAACTTGTAGGAAGGCCAGTTGTAGTTCTAACAAAATGCCAGGTAATTGTCTGGGGCTAGGTCACTGAAGAGCCATCTGGAAGGTCAGCTTCACTGGATATCTCCCAGGAACTGGTCTTCACACACTGCAGGAGCAAAGAAGACAGAGAAACCAATCAGACCAGCACTCTTTACTGACCCAGCTTGATATTATGTCAGCTGGCAAAAGAGAAATGTTTACAAGGTCCATTTCCAGTATCACAAAGCAGTAAAAGACAGGTGGGTTTCATCTATGAGGGAATAATTTCCTACATGCAAATCTGGCATGTGATGTTGTAAGCACATTAATATTAGGAGTGGTAAGTTAAATGTCAGTCAAGCATTTACTCTGTGATACAAAAGCTGCTACATACCCAACACACGTGTACCCACACACACACACACACACACACACACATAATTCCTGATAGATTCTCTCACACAAGCTGAAGTCTGTGTATTTTAGTTCTCTTTTTCTCTAATTCTTTGCACTTGTAGTTTAACAACCTATCCAATTTGAACTAGAGAATTTGGAGTCATCTAAGATTCCTTACTTTTTCTTTTATGCCTCATCCAATTTGTTACCAATCCTGGCCAATGCTAGCTCTCCTCATATTTATCAAATGATTTGAATAGCATAGAGTATAAAATAGAGTACAGTAGCAGCTTTGTTCAATGAAATGTTTGAAGCGGCATGAATCAATTCCACTGTAGTTTTACAAAGCCTGAGAATAAATGATCACATCTTTTCCTTCTGCTAAGGTGATCTTGGAAGCAAATGCTAAAATAAAGCTACTATCAGCTGGAATCTGAGAATAACTATAATGATCTAAATATGCTGCTCATATGACAGGTTCATAGTGTGAATGGGAAATAAACTTATGTAGTGCTAAGTCATGAGATGTTAAGATTGCTTATTACTATATCATACCCTGAGATATACAATGGCCAATTCCTCATTGTGTTAACTCTATGAACATTAAGAGTAGGATTGATATGTGTTAACAACTTCCAAACAACCCATCATTTCTCCCAGTCTGTGTCTGCTTATCTTCAGGGGCATTCTAGCGTTTTCATGTATTATTACCCTTCCAGCACTTTCTTTTCATAAAGGCATCTCTTTCTCTTCTTTAATAATTTTTTTCTTCATCTTGTCTTCTCTGCCTTACATCTTAACCACTTTTCCCAGGTTATTCACAATTCAGGTTCATTTGCTATTTTATGCAGTGTGCATGACTAACTTAGGGGAGTTTCAGTCTTTTGTTGTATTGTGACCTTCAACTGATTGGATGAGGCCAACTATGGAGAGCAATGTGCTTTACTCAGTCTACCTATTTAATTGTTATGCTCATCCAAAACCACTCCCATAAAAACACCCAGAATAATGTTAGACCAAATATATGGGCACCCAGTGACCCAGTCAGGTTGCCACATAAAATTAAGCAACACAAAGTATAATTACTTTTATATCACTACCTTCTTTGTTATTTGGAAAATATACTTTCAATTATCTCCTGTATCTAAAAGTCAAGTTTTATGTCAAAAATACTTCATTTTCACTATTTCAAAGGGGTAATGCAAGATTAATGTGACAGTTTTATAATATACCAGGAACTTTGACACTGTTGTCAAATTAAATTCATTTAGAATATTCACTTACAAAATTGTTAGAAGGGAGCTATAAACCATAAAAAGAATCCTTAAGATTCTGTAATTCTATACCATAGGTGGCAGACCAGTTTCCTACAGTTTTAAAAAGAAGAATAAGATACTTGTTTACAAAACAGAAGCTATTACATAAAAAATCAGCTGGCTATATATATATTTTAATTAAGTATAGCAATTCCACCCTATATTTGCCCATATCATTTTATATCAAAGGTATGATTTTGCCATACTATTTGTCATTCACTATTTCAACAAATATGTATTAAGTACAGGCATTAACCATTCCCATATTGCTATTAGCTTGCCTTTTCTATGTTGATACCAAGCAAAATTGCAACTCATGTTCTAAAAAATGCTAAAATATTTTTAATGAATTTTTGTATAGTTTTGCCTAACTAAAGTGATAAATCAGCATATGAAACTATATACATATCATATTGCAAGATGCATTAAGCCCCTAGATATTACCAAGTATTATAATATTGTCTTCTTTTAAGAACAACATGGGTATTCTGTTTCTTCCTTCCGTTGCTATGCAGAAATAACTCAATTAAGGAAATTTTTAAAAAATAATCATAATTTACCCCAATGAAAATACTACTATTACTACTTTTTTTTACTCAATATATAAATTTCCATTACTTGTTGTGTTAGTGACACAAAAATAAAAAGGAACAAGTTAGTTATTTTATACTAAGAAACTGTTTACCATAATCTATTAATGAGAGGAAAATAAGTACAAATGAGTTTAAATACTTGATGTACCTGAGCCTACATAAGTAATCTGATGCTATTAACTATTAATTTAAAAAGCAATGAATATATACTACTAATATATAATAGTATATATATATTTAATATATATAAGTAGTATTAGTACATACATATTAGATTATGTATTATACTAGTAATACTAATACTAGTATTATACTATATATTATACTATTACTAATAACAGTATTTCCTTTGCATTTTATATATATGTAAAACACATTATATATTATACTACTAATACCAGTGTTACCTTAGCCTTTTATATATGTACATATATATATTAGATTATATATTATACTACTAATACTAATGCTAGTGTTAGTATTATTAGTATTAGTACCAGTAGTGTTAGTATTAGTAGTATAATATATAACCTAATATATAGTTGTATATATATATATACACATATATATATATATATAAAATGCAAAGGTAAAGGCACTTATCTTGCTACTCCACTTATTACCAAGAGGTGTCACTACCATATCTCCTACATTCATAAATTAATAAGAATTATTTAATATTGATTTAATGTATTATTTTTCTCTGTTTGAAAATTATCAATACAAATATGTGCTTATGTTATTCCCACAGAACATCATCAATGTGTATAATTATTAGAGTATATTCTTTGTAGTCCATTATTAATCTTCCTTACAGAAATTATCTAGGGTGATTTCTATTATGAAGAGTGTTCTTTCATGGTTGCTAGCACAATTCATGTCAAGCTGTCTCACCCTAATACTCAGTTCTTACGTTCTTGAGGAATGACAGGTATATTACAAAGGTAAATAAAACAAAGTCTATTGTAATGCAGTGGCCTGCATGGGTACTGGCTCAAAATATATATTTGTATAAAATGAAGAAAATTTGATTTGAATAATGTAGACCCTTGTTTACCAAAGTGTGATCCACATCAGTCACTATATTAGTCACTAGGGAGCTCATTATGAATGAAGAATCTTAGGACCAACACAAACCTACGTGATCTGATGTGCATTTTACCAAGATCCCCAAGTGATATGTGGGCACATTAAATTGTGAGAAGCATTCGTCTGCACTGATGACTACAAAAATCAGCGCTGATATTCACAACTGGCCTCAAAGAGCCTCACTGGCTACCATGGAGAGAAAGAGAAATCCTACAGTTGAGCAATTCCACCCTCGTCTGGTTTTTACACAGTTGAGTTGTCATTTAATGCAGTGAAATGCAAAATTACTACTAACTTATACTGAATACTTGTGAAAAGTCACTTATACTGAATATTTCTCACTTATACTGAATACTTGTGTTGCGAACCATGAGAAAAATAATTGCATTCAAATCATCCGTAAAGTATTTTGGACCAGGCAGTTTTTATTTTTGAAATAGATCATTGGTTTTGGATTGAGAACCACATGAACTAATTAAGTTACCTTTATACACCATTATAAATAGAATATGTCTTTATATATTGAAGTTAGACATGGCTCTGTACAAAAGGTAAAAGAGAATAACTTGGCTAATGAAAACAAACAAATATAGGTACATATCTCTCCTCACCTGTTTTCAAGAAACACTGGTTCTGACTCCAATGACAGCAAAAATTACAAACCACAATGATCATCCAGTTATTTTTTCTTTTTCATTTTTTCCTCAACCAGTATTTCTTAATGTAAGGTTAAAGTATCAACACGGTAGAGTTCTACTTCGAGATTCTCTTTAAGCTCTTTACTAAAATATGGGAGGCTGAGCGTATTACTTGAAGTAGATTAACAGGTAATCCACCTCTTTTATTCATGTTATATTTTCACCTAAGTTGGTATCAATTGTTATCCATGCAAAATGTAATTTCATACTGATAACAGGGTGTTTTAAGTCACAAAACAGAGGATTTGAGGACAATAGAGAAAAGGGGCACATATAGTATGGGATCTATTAATATCAGCATCAGGTCTTAACTTAGTTCATTTCCCAAATTAATAGATGAGCGAGGGCTCAGAATCTTCTGCAATCCACGTGAGAAGGTTTTTTGAGACATGGATTTGTGATTGCAGGTATTACTAATTCACAGTTCATGTGTTAAAAAAAAACTTCACCTACAAAATCAACCCAGCAATGTACTATCCACGAGATAAGAGTATACAGATTCAAAGTGTTGTTTGTTGGTAATTAGGTAAACATTAGCATCTTCATGATGTGGAAAGTGACTGAAATGTTTGACACCAGTTTGGCAGATGGTCAGCAGGTACAGAGAAAGGGCAGTGATCTTGCATGGAGACTGCTGCTAATGGACCATTTTGTGGGCACAGGTAAAGTAGCCCTTTGGGAACTCATAAATAATGGGAGAGGGGTGAACGTTGAATGAGCTAGTCTCTATCAGGCTGCTAGGAATTCCATTAACTATAATGGGATCATAAATAGCAATGAATGCAGTGGTGCGATCTCAGCTCACTGAAGCCTCCACTTCCCAGGTTCAAGCAATTCTCCTACGTCAACCTCCCGAGTAGCTGGGATTACAGGGGCGCCACAACACCCAGATAATTTTTGCATTTTTTAGTAGAGGTGGGGTTTCACCATGTTGACCACGCTGGTCTTGAACTCCTGACCTCAGGTGATCTACCTGCCTTGACCTCCTAAAGTGTTGGGATTACAGGCATGAGCATTGCAGCCTGGGTGACAGAGAGAGACTCCAACTCAAAAAAAAAAAAATTTATGAATGAAGGGGAGGTTGGGTCCCCTTAAGGAAGGACCCCACTACATTACCAACAATTTATGCATTGAATCTTTCTCCCATCCTTCCCCGAGGAGACCTCCAAACTGTTACCAGGGTAACTGTGCACTGCGGAAAGGGAAATGATCAGACATTTCGGGAACTACTGGACACTGGCTGTGAGATGAC
This sequence comes from Homo sapiens, assembly GCF_000001405.40. Lineage (NCBI taxonomy): Eukaryota > Metazoa > Chordata > Mammalia > Primates > Hominidae > Homo > Homo sapiens. The sequence continues at coordinate 82,974,289 of NC_000013.11, read as the reverse complement.
ATTGATTGCTGGGGACCCAAAACATCACTGTGATCCTCCAGTTAAAGTAGGAGCTTACAGAAGTCAGATAATTACGGAATTTTAGCTCTGGTTTGACTTACGGTGTGTCCAGTGGGTCCCTGGACTCATCCTTTAGTCATTTCCCCAGTGCCAGAATGCATAATTGGCACAGGCATACTTAGCAGCTGGCAGAACCACCACATTGGCCCCCTGACTGGTAGGGTGAGGGCTATTATGGTGGGAAAGGCCAAATGGAAGCTATTAGAGCTGCCTCTACATAGAAGAATAGTAAATCAAAAACAATGTCACAGCCTTGGAGAGATTGTAGAGATTAGTGCCACCATCAAGGACTTGAAAGACACAGGGGTAGTGATTCCCACCACACCCCCGTTCAACTTTCCCATTTGGCCTGTGCAGAAGACACATGGATCTTGGAGAATGACAGTGTATTATCATAAGCTTAACCAAATGGTGACTCCAATTGCAGCTGCTGTACCAGATGTGGTTTCATTGTTTGAGCAAATTAACACGTTCCCTGGTGTCTGGTGTGCAGCCATTGACTTGGCAAATGCCTTTTTCTCCATTCCTGTCCATAAGGCCCACCAGAAGCAATTTGCCTTCAGCTGACGAGGCCAGCAATATACCTTTACTGTCCTACCTCAGAGGTATATCAACTCTCCGGCTTTGTGTCATAGTTTTATTCGGAGAGAACTTGATCACTTTTTGCTTCCACAGGATATCACACTGGTCCATTACATTGAAGACATTATGCTGATTGGATCCAGTGAGCAGGAAGTGGCAAACACACTGGACTTATCAGTGAAACATTTGCATGCCAGAGGACAGGAAATTAATCTGACTAAAATTCAGGGACCTTCTACCTCAGTAAAATTTCTAGGGTGTTAGTGGTGTGGGGCATGTTGAAATATTCCTTCTAAGGTGAAGGATAAATTGCTGCATTTGGCCCCTCCTACAATCAAGAAAGAGGCACAATGCCTAGTGAGCCTGTTTGGATTTTGGAGGCAAGACATTCCTCATTTGGATATGTTTGTTACTCTGGCCCATTTATCAAGTAACATGAAAGGCTGGGAGTTTTGAGTGGGGTCCAGAACAGGAGAAGGCTCTGCAACAGGTCCAGTCTACTGTTTGGAGCTTTTGGCAGGCCTCCGCAGGTGAATCACAGTGGAGACCTCTAGGATTTTGGAGCAAGATCCTGCCATCTTCTTCAGATTAACTACCCCCAGTTTGAGAGACAGCTCTTGGCCTGTTACTGGGCTTTCGTGGAAACTGAACATTTGACTATGGGTCATCAAGTCACCATGCAACCTGAACTTCCTGTCATTAATTGGGTGCTTTCTTACCTATCTAGCCATAAAGTGGGTTGTGCACAGTAGCATTCCATCATCATATGGAAGTGGTATATATATATGAGCAGGCTCGAGCAGTTCCTGAAGACACAAGTAAGTTACTTGATGAAGTGGCTTAAATGCCCATGGTCCCTACTTCTGCCACCTGCCTTCTCTTCCCCAGCCTGCACCGATGGCCTCATGGGGAGTTCTGTATGATCAATTGACAGAGAAAGAGAGGACTAGGGCCTGGTTCACAGACGGTTCTCCACGATATGCAGGCACCACCTGAAAGTGGACAGCTGCAGCACTATAGCCCCTTTCAAGGAAAATCCCTGAAGAACAGGGGGGAAGGGAAATCTTCTCAGTGGGCAGAACTTTAAGCAGTGAACCTGGTTGTGCACTTTGCATGGAAGGAGAAATGGCTAGGTTTGTGATTATATACTGATTCATAGGCTGTAGTCAATGTTTTGGCTGGATGGTCAGGGCCTTGGAAGAAACATGATTGCAAAATTGGTGACAAAGAAATTTGGGGAAGGGGTATGTGGATGGACATCTCTGGTGGTCAAAAACTGTGAAGATATTTGTATCCCATGTGAATGCTCACCAGTGGGTACCCTCAGCAGAGGAGGATTGTAATAATCAAGTGGATAGGATGACCCGTTCTGTGGATACCACTCAGCCTCTTTCCCCAGCCACCCCTGTAATCGCCCAATGGTCCCATGAACAAAGTGACCATGGTGGCAGGGATGGAGGTTACACATGGGCTCAGCAACATGGACTTCCACTCACCAAGGCTGACCTGGCTATGGCCACTGCTGAGCGCCCAATTTGCTAGCAGCAGAGATGAACACTGAGCCCTTGATATGGCAGCATTCCTTGGGGTGATCAGCCAGCTACCTGGTGGCAGATTGATTGTATTGGACCTCTTCCATTATGGAAAGGGCTGAGGTTTGTCCTCACTGGAATAGACACTCCGAATATGGGTTTGCGTATCCTGCACAAAATGCTTCTGCCAAGACTACCATCAGTGGATTCACAGAATGCCTTATCCACGGTCGTGGTATTCCACACAGCATTGCCTCTGACCAAGGCACTCATTTTATGGCTAAAGAAGTGTGGCAGTGGGCTCGTGCTCATGGAATTCACTGGTCTTACCATGTTCCCTAAGATCCTGAAGCAGGTGGATTGATAGAATGGTGGAATGGCCTTTTGAAGTCACAATTATGCCAACTCTGTAACAATACTTTGCAGGGCTGGGGCAAAGCTCTGCAGAAGGACATATATGCTGTGAATTAGCATCCAATATATGATACTGTTTCTCCCATAGCCAGGATTTATGGGTCCAGGAATCAAAGGGTGGAAGTGGAAGTGACACCACTCACCATCACCCCTAGTGATCCAGTAGCAAAATTTTTGCTTCCTATTTCTCCGACATTATGTTCTGCTGGCCTAGAGGTCTTAGTTCCAGACAGATGAATGCCATCAAGAGACACAACAACAATTCCATTAAACTGGAAGTTAAGATTGCCACCTGGACCCTTTGGGCTCCTCCTATCTTTAAGTAAGCAGGCTAAGAAGGGAGTTACAGTGTTGGCTGGGGTGATTAACCTGCACCATCAAGATGAAATCAGTCTACTACTCCATAATGGAGGTAAGGAAGAGTATGCATAGAATACAGGAGATCCATTGGGGTGTCTCTTAGTATTACCATGCCCTGTGATTAACGTCAAAGGGAAACTACAACAGCCCAATCCAGGCAAGACTACAAATGGCCCAGACCCCTCAGGAATTAAGTTTTGGGTCACTCCACCAGGAAAGAAAACATGACCTGCTGAGGTGCTTACTGAAGGCAAAGGGAATACAGAATGAGCAGTAGAAAAGGGGAGTCATCAATACCAGCTACAACCACGTGACCAGTTGCAGAAACCAGGACTATAACTGTCATGAGTGTTTTCTCCTTCTTTTGTTAAAAACATATTCGTGCATGTATAAACTGTAATAAGAAAATGTCTTAATTTTATTTCCTTTACCCTTATCATGTGACATAAGATTTATTGACTTTGCCTCAGCATTTATGTATTATTAACTTTATGTAATAGTATCTGAGTTGGGGATTGGTGTGTTTCCAGTTGTACACTTGTATTCAGTTATATTATGTTGGGCATAATTATGACTTTATTATTATCTTTATTTCAATATTATATATGATCTCAGGAGACGTATATGGGTTCAGGTTGACAAGAGGTAGACTTGTGATAGTTAACACTGAGTGTCAACGTGATTGGATTGAAGGATACAAAGTATTGATCCTGGGTGTGTCTGTGAGGGTGTTGCCAAAAGAGATTAACATTTGAGTCAGTGGGCTGGGGAAGGCAGATCCACCCTTAATCTGGTGGGCACAATCTAATCAGCTGCCAGCAAATATAAAGCAGGCAGAAAAAACATGAAAAGGAGAGACTGGTCTAGCCTCCCAGGCTTCATCTTTCTCCCATGCTGGATGTTTCCTGCCCTTGAAACTTGACTTCAACTTCTTCAGTTTTGGGACTGGGACTGGCTCTCTTTGCTCCTCAGCTTGTAGTCAGCCTAGGACCTTATGATCATGTAAGTTAACACTTAAACTCCCAAATTTATGTGTGTGTGTGTGTGTGTGTGTGTATATATACATATATATATATATATATAAAAATACACATATATATGTGTATTATCTATATATACACACACATATATATACACACACACACAGATATATATATACACACACACACACTCTAGGGATCTCTAGAGTGACAGAACTAATAGGAGATATATATGTGTGTGTGTGTGTGTGTGTGTGTGTGTGTGTATATAGATAATACAAATATATATGTGTATAAATCCCAAATAATGTGTGTGTATATATAGATATTTGGGAGTTTATATATATATATATACACACACACATTATTTGGGAGTTATACACATATATGTATGTGTATTATCTATGTATAAACACATATATATTATATATATATATATCTCCTATTAGTTCTGTCACTCTAGAGATCCCTAATACAACAATAATAAAATTTTTTCTAATAATCTTTTCATATTCAATAAAATTTTCTTAGACCATCTAATTTCATTTTTCTTTTAGAGAACATAAAAATATGAAAAGAAAACATGGTTCTGTAACTCAATCCAGCTGTAGAATAGTTTGAAAATACATCAGTACTGACAAACCAGGGAAATAATAGGCCTGAAATAGTGTATGAAACACAAGTGAAGTTATGTGATAAGAAAAATAAACAATTATCAAGTCATAATAGCTAACCTCAGGGAAATTAAGATAATATTTTGCCAGAATATATGAATCAACTTAAAATATTAATAGCTTTAACATACCTAAATGATAAACTTAAATATTAAAATTTTTTCTGAGAAAATGAACTAAATGAATAACTTTAAAAATTATACAAAATAGGACTGGGTGCAGTGGCTCACGCCTGTTATCCTAGCACTTTGTGGGGCCGAGGCAGACGGATCACTTTAGGTCAGAAGTTTGCGACCAGCCTGGCCAACATGGTGAAACCCCGTCTCTACTAAAAATACAAAAATTAGCTGGAAATGGCTTGAATCCGGGAGGCAGAGGTTGCAGTGAGCCGAGATCATGCCACTGCACTCCAGCCTGGGTGACAGAGCGAGACTCTGTCTCAAAAAAAAAATAATAATAATAATAAAAGAAAATGTTTCAGGTATTATCTCACAATTCAGAGCTAAACAAAAACATTAAAGTTAAAAATACATTTTTCTTCCATTTTTGGGTCAAATGCATTTAAATGTATTTGAGCTCATGCTCTGCATATTCTCTACAAGTGATTGTGTCTTTTTTCATTTGAACCTACAGTATAAACATTTTCAATTGCTGTCTTATTCAACTTGAACTGTTATAACAAACTACTATAGACTCGTGGCTTAAACAGAAATTTATTTCTCAAAGTTTTGGAGGCTGGAAGTTTGATACCAGGATGCCAGCATGGTTGGGTTCTGGTGATGGCCCTATCTTGGGTACCAGCCTGCAGATTTCTTGCATCCTCCTTATGTAGCAGAGAGAGAGCAAGAGAGCCCATTGGGGTCCCTTTTACAAAGGCACTATCTTATTCATAAGGTCTCCACCCTCATGATTGCCCCCAAAGACTCCACCTCCTAAAACCATTGCATTAGAAGTTAGCATTTCAATGTATGAATTCTGGGAGGACTTATTCAATTCCGAACAACTGCATTTAAAAATAATTTGGATATAAAGGTTTTATTTATTTGTTTAGTTTTTAAATAGACTGCTGATTTTGTTGCAGTGAAGGGGGAAGAACTGAGGAAATACCCCCAGCCCCAGTACGTACAGGGGAGGGAAGGCATTGATGATATCTTAGCCAGGCATTCCTACTTTAGCCTTCCTTTAAAACAAAATGCCATTTCATTGTTTTCAAAAAGTTTTGCAATGGCTTTCAATTTAACTAGCTGTAGGATTTGTCATCCCCATCAGACAGTTTGTACCATGATTTGATAGTTACTTTCCATAACTTTAATAGTACTTCTATTAAAAACAGTAGGAGTTGGCCCTAGCTTCTGCATCTTTCATGAAAAACACCCACAGATATCACTGGATATCTTCCCACACACATTCCCATAGTTATCACTCAGTGATCCAATGATGTGGATATACATATATATATACACACACACACATATACACACACACATATACACACACACATACACACACACACAAACACACACACACACACATAAATCTTGTCTGGAATGGGTTGGAACCTTCTGCCTGCCTAGCTAGGATGAAAATTAATACTAGTTGTTACAAAGGGGTGGACCTGAAGCTGACTATCACATTAACAAGATCTAAACCAGGAAGAGTTAGTAACAACTAGGACAAAATTTTGCCACCAGTATTTGAACCTATTGTTGTCCAGTGTACATCCTGCAATCTCAGCCCAAATTCTCCCATATTAATATGTAATAAAGAAGATTGTCTAGTACACATCCTACAATCTCATTCCAGAGTTGTCCATACTAACAGGAAATAAAGAAGATAATTTCTTGCCCAGTAGATCATAACATTTTAGACATGTTCATGACCAATTCCCAAGGAATTTCATCAAGTCCCATTAATCAGCCCCCAAAGAGCCAATATTCTTCCTTTTTCATAAATGTTTATCTATGTCAGTATTCCATCTTCATAGCTAAAATTGTCAAGATCTGGGAAAGATTTGTGATTTTATTCGACTTGCAAGCTAACAGTTTAGGTGGCTACGGTTTTATAGATGCTGGCAGAACACACATGAGACTCATGGTTCAGAGACATGGAATTTTATTGCTTTATGATAATGCAAGCAGCATGAGCATCCGTGTATTTCCTCAGTCCCCTTTGCCACTAAGTCTCTTGAGAGCAACCCAGCTGAACCCAGATGGATGCCTGTAAATGTAACTGTTTACACATTATATGAAAGAAATCATTCATTTAGGAAACTAATATTTTATAATGGGTAGTAAGTCAGCCTACTCCATGGTTAGACACTTTGTCTTCCTAACTACTAAACAAACTTCGTTAAAAAGACAGTCTAGAACAAAAGCAGTCAATGTTTCTGCAAAATGACAAGAAACCAGAGAGATTCATAAATAGTTGCCTCTCAATGTTGGCTTATTAGATTTATCTACTCTTCTATTTTTCCATCTTCCCTCATGTTCCTCCTTCCCTTTGTATCCCATGCCTCCCTCTCCTTCCCCTTTCTTCTTTCCTTCCTTCCTTCCTCCTTTTCTTCCTTTCTTCTTTCTCTTTTTCCAGATGAAGTTTTGAACTTGGCTTTAATTCACTGCACAAAGAGAAGATGAATACACATTGAAAATTCAGATTATCAGAGCATTTCTGTACAAATTATATTCAATAGGCCTAAGATGATACCTCAGATATTCTATTTTTAAGATGGGGCCATGGGAAGTAAATACATTGAAGATATATGAAAGCAAATGAAATAAACCTGTATGTGGGTCTACCAATGAGAAATACAAGTTCAGCCTAAATTAACCTGCTTAAATAATGAAGTTAAGGAAATAAAATAGTAGACTATTGGCTGGGCACTATGGCTCATGCCTGTAATCCCAACACTTTGGGAGGCCGAAGTGGGTGGATCATGAGGTCAGGAGTTTGAGACCAGCCTAGCCAACATGGTGAAACCCCACTTCTACTAAAAATACAAAAATTAGCAGGATCTGGTGGCCACACCTGTACTCCCAGTTACTTGGGAGGCTGAGGCAGGAGAATAGCTTCAATCCGGCAGGAGGAGTTTGCAGTGAGCTGAGATTGTGCCACTGCACTCCAGCCTGAACCATAGAGTGAGACTCTGTCTCAAAAAATAAAAATAAAAATAAATAAACAAAGTAGACTATCAGAGGATAGATATCTAGCAATTAAAAAACATTTTGCTGTTTAAATATTTTAGAGAATCAACAGGAGGACTTAAAGTCTTTTCCACTCTTTGTTTCAAAAGATGAAGATGTAAATATATGCTTATTATCATAACTTATGTTTCTTAACGATGACAGCCTAGTGTATATAGATGTAACTGTGTTTTGATCAGTATGATTTATCATCTCATAACATTCAAAATATTCAGCTATTCAGAAAGGAATTTTTTCTTATTAATTACACTGAAGTGGTACTGTCTCAGTATTTGTGAAATAGTAATTAAAGGGCAAATTTTGTCTTTGGAGAAGTGTTGGAGACAGCACAGATTTTATTTTATCGTGTTCTTGGTTTGTATAACTATATCTGATTGCTTTCAAAGTAAATGGAAAAGGCCATTGTTCTAGCATATTATGATTAAATGAAAATATTACTTATATTATTTCATAAAAACTGTGGATCTCACACCATAAATCCAATGTGTGAATTCTCACAGAATTTTCCTTAGAATATTAGATTTTTTAAATATTGCCTGAAGTGTTACCCAAAAAATACAAGCTACAAAGTTTAGTCACTTATGTTACAGTGATATCAAAGCATATAATTTTTAGTTTTCATAAATGTTGTGTAGGTCACTTAGCAGAGTAAAATGGTGTCGAAAATAATGATTCCTTTCAAGTATAAAATATAAAAGAATATATCATTTTTATGAAAATATTATTTAAGCTTTTACTTGTGAAGAATGTTAATAAAACACATTATACTATGTCAAATGTATAGGTAACTATTTGTAAGCTATCAGAATTTCAGAAGGAACTGTACTGTTAGTTATCAAATAATTTACGATAGCCCTATTACACACAAATCTAAAACTATACTTGTTAGATCTTTATTAATATTTGGGATAGTCTCTTTACTAAGAGAAAACTCACAAAATTAAACCACTTAAATTTTTGGAATTTATTTTTAGATTTCCCTTTCAGCTCCAGTCTTGACTTTTAAATTTATATAATTAAAGAGCCATTGCATTACATTTATGACGAATATGACACATAATAAGGGACAATAGCTGACCGGAAGAACATTGTTATCAAGAAAATTTGTTTTAATTCAGATGACTAAATGTAGAAAAGTATTTCACTTTAATACAATTTTATAAAGAGGTTAAGTTTATGTTGTGTTTTAATCACAAAGAAAACAGAGTTTCCCCCTTATTCTATCTATTTGATAACTAACCATTGGTTATTGAATGAAATTAAGTGGAACTGATTTCTCCTTTCTCAAAATATTCTTAGAGTACATATGGGGTTTTAAGAAGTAAGATGTGTCTTTGTGTGTGTGTGTGTAATATTTTTAACTTAAGTGAAGAATGCAAACATGAAAAACTAGAATTATTTCTTGTGTAAAAAGAAGGGAAACAGCAAAGCTAATAAATCCAACATACTCTGAAATCTAAATTTTGCAAGTTTTGTTGCAGGAGCTTAAGGACAACCCTAGCAAAAATGATTTCATATTTTAAGCACCTATTTTTGGGGGGCAGGGGGGCACAGAATCTCACTCTATCACACAGACTGGAGTGCAATGGTGTGCCCTCCACTCACTGCAACCTCCACCTCCCTCAACCTCCTTCTGCCTCAGCCTCCCAAGTAGCTGGGATTACAGGTGCCCGCCACCATGCCTGACTAATTTTTGTATTTTTAGTATATGGGGGGTTTCATCACATTCGCCAGGCTGGTCTGGAACTCCTGACCTCAAGTAATCCTCCTCCCTTGGCCTCCAAAAGTGCTGAGATTACAGGCATGAGCCACCACCAGGCCCACCCTTTTTTAATCAAATGGGAGTAACAAAAGAATAGTCCACCACTTGTGATATAGATCAAGAATGTAGTAAAAAAAAATTAGTCTTATAGACCTATCTTCAATTAATTGATTAGAGATTAATCAATTTGATTGATTAGAGTGTCAAAGCTTTTGATTTCTATTTCCTTGTCAGTTCAAAGCAAGGTGATTTAGAAAATATCATCCTATCTTTAGATCCAGAGAAAGTATTCTCTGTAAAGATTCTTCATCATAGATATTTTCTTTTGACTTAAATGGTGTTAAAAAAAAAAGGTTTTATTGCACAAAGCAAAATTCACTTATAAGTATGTGTATTTTGACATGATATGGAAGATGGGATTGGTTTTGAAAAGACAGAATTGAGAAGACATTATAGCTCAAGAAACAGAATGATCTATGGTAACTTACCTTAGGGCTATACTCTATTTTTTATGAAATTGTTAAAATGCTAAAGGAGAAAAAGTAGAATGCATAGATAAACTTGGATATAATACAATAAGCTAGGAATTGGTCATAACAATTCTTTAATATTTGTATACATAGAGTTACTTTAACACTGAACTATTTTAGCCATATGTAAATATACCCTAAAAGTCTAAACACACACACACACAGCATCTAAATTTTTATGCTTTGGTTTAGGAAAATACCTTAATGTACCATAAGGGCTAAATAAAGGAAGGCATAATGATAAAGGCATTGAAATCCTTTGCATAATTTAAAGATAGTCATGTATTATTTTCATTGGGTAGGGGTTGTTGCTATGGAAACGGGAAGAAGAAAATAAAGCCAGTTTGTCAATTATACCTTAATAAAACTGAAAAATAAAAAAAATAGAAAGGAAAAGAAAACAAAGCAAGTTCATGAAAGAATGATGAGTAATATGGTGATAGAGTGATACGGCTTTTGAAAAATGTGAGATAATGGGGTTCTTTAGATAACGTCAGCACAATGTTTTTTTAAATTACACATGTGTCTTTAAAAACACGTTTTTCATCATGATAGTGTGGTGAATGCGTTCTTAAAATAACATTGATGTCAACTTTGTGTACGAATAGCACTCTTATTAATATCTTATATGTATATCTTTAAACAGTTTTTTGACATACAGAACAGTGTAGTCAACACATCCATTCATCACAGTAACAATGTTCTCAACTTTGCACTCAAGTAGCATTCCAAGAAATATTTTGTACAGGCATACATATATTAATACATTTTAAAGCTATTTGTAATGTTGCAATATATGTTTCTGTCATTCCAAAGCCTTATTTATGCTACAGGAATGAGTTCTCTCTTGATTGTTATTTTTGTGACTGTTTTGAAAAATAGACAAAGAGATCAGTAGTACTTTGTCAGAGTATACATCATAGACAACATAAAACAAATGTCATGAAAATCAGAAAACAACGAATTTAGTTTAAGAGCGCATAATCTGCCAGATCCTATAAATTCACAGAAATATGGGGAAGGCTTCAATATTCCCCAAATTTTCCAATGAGGTTTCAGATGCTCTTACCACACTTTAAAATACTACGTCATATCTTGGGTTACATATCAATTAGATTTTTTTTAATTCAAACAACATTTTTTAACATTATTTCACTGTGTTGCATCCCTTTGTGTCATTAGCCCTTTCTTTAGTCTAAGCACTTGGATTTATATTTATGCTTAGTATTAAAAAGAAACACACACACATCCTGAGCCATCTCTAAGTGCACTTGCAGAATCAGGATACTATTCTATCTGTGACTAATGTTCAGTTTCTGCTTAAAGTCACTTTTCTCTTAGTTTCAGCACCTGAACTATTGTTTTCCAGTAGACTTTAATCAAATGTTAGCTGGGTAGTCCAAATTGAAAAATGATCACTGCGATGCAGCTATGTCGTTTTCAAAACAGGAAATAGGAGGGAAAAAAACATTTTCTTTTACCAAATCAGATTTAGTGGTTGGGGCTGCAAATGACCTGACAAAAGATAGATAAACAGAAGAAATGACAAAGTTTACTCATGCACGTGGGAGGTGCACCAACAAGCAGCTCACTGAACAGCTAGAGTTAGTGGTTTATATATCATCCTTATAAGAAGGGGAGACTTCAAGGGAAAACAAATGGTGGGAAACTAATGAGAAACAAGTTCAGGGAAACAAGAGGAAGTTACAAAAGGTTTTCATAGGGCTTTGCCTGTGTAATTTCTCATCCAAGTATAAATGTTCTCTCTCCTTTCTGACTGTAAACCTCCCAAAGAGGGCATTTATGGTAGCTTTAATTTGGGGAAAATTTACTTAAGTCAGCAAAAGAAGTTAAACTTAGTTATTTTGAGTTTTCTGGGTTTTTTTTTTCCTCAGAGCTGATGTTTATTCAGAAGTTTTCATCTTAAAATAATCTTCACGTCACATTAGTGGGTTCAAGTGAATCCTGTCACAAGTGATGTACTCTCAAACTGGTTGAGACAATAGAATGGTGTTTATTAGAGATGAGCAAAAACACATTTGATTTATTTGGTTATGTCTTAGTTACATTAGCATGATTTAGATACTCATTGGAGCATAGTAACTGAGAACAAGCAATTTCAACCACCCCTGCCTTCACCACTCACATAATTTGTGAATGTAGGGATGTTTTCTAACTTTGCTGTGTTTCAGTTACTTATCAGGAATATAAAATTGAATATATGTTAAATAACCAAATAATAAGGATTTAAATGGACTATGAAATAAATTAGTATTTTAATTTCCAAATAAAATAATAATTAAAAAGGTAGGTTTTATACCAACTAATATGTGCCAAATACTTTTAAAGTACATAATTTTGCATGTGTATTTTTTTATCGGAAACACATATGGTTGTATTTATTATAATTTTATCATCATGAAAGCTTTACATGGGAGAGTTTCACTTTTAAAATGCTTTGTGAAGAGCTACAGGGAACTACTCCCCGAAGAAACAAACATAATTCGTGAAAATTATATTTTAAAATGTGATAACAAATAAATTTCTGGAAATTGATCTAAGGGTATGCTGAAACTAAAGAAGGTTTTATTTTATAAATATCTTCTAAAGCCAGTAAAATAAAACAGTGGCATTAAACCAAATCTGTTCCTTCTCTCTGGCCTCTTCACACAGCATGATTGAAATTCCACTGTGGGTGGGTAGAGTCAGGAACACAGAGATTCTTCCAGCTTGCAATTGAAAGATATGGTATCTCCAAGGGAGGCTCAGGCAGCTAGCACTTCTCATCCCACCCAGCTATGTGTTTCAGAGGCTCAATTATAGGTGAGTATAGCCAAGAGGTGTAGTATCCCATCTTCTACCCAGCTCCCACTTGTAAAGCTAAGGTTCTACCATAAGTATGGCAGGCTAAGGATATTGTGGCACTGGAGGCTATCATAGCACCTTACTCAGTGGGCAAACGTTCCATTTCAAAGGAGGAAAACCAAGAAGACAACAGTCTATCAATCCCATCTAGTGTCTCGTATGTAATAAAAGAGACACTTCCAAAAGAAGTAGGCCCCTCTATTATCCCCCACTTCCAGAACAGCAGCTCAGACATTTTGCACGGGGGGAGTGATAATCTACAAGAATATTGAGCTCTAAAGCTGTAATTACCACTCTAATGTAATATAGTATGAGGCTGAGCAGGGCACTTTCTTGCATCAAAATCCGTGGACACCTTATGGCCATCATGGGGTATCCAGATACTCCAGAAGACATGAGAGTAGATTGCTAAAGCCTCTGCAACGAAGAAGGCTTGCAAGAAGAGGCAAAGAGCACAAATAGGATGCATGCTATATTGCAACTGAGCCAGATTCCACAGCCTTTTGTTGTAGGGGCCCCATTTATGGTGGGCTGATTTGCAAATAAAAACATAAATGAGTTTAAATAAAACTTGTGTGTGAAGAATATGTTGCCTTATCTTGAAGCCAATTTTCATGTTTTATTCATAAATAAATGACTCTAGCCACTATTATCTTCACAAGTTAATTATAGCTTAATTACTATAATTCCAGTCAAAAATAGAAAGTCTGTACTTATTATGACAAATCAAGATGCAATCACTTTCAAAAGTTAAAAATTGGATATATACCTGAAGAAAGTTCAGCTCTGACTTTACAATTAGGTTGATAGTTCATGCCTTTCTGCTTTCTTATATATTGTTCATAATAAATTCTGTTTATTTGGGACAGATTTTATTATTTGTTTAAAGAAGCTTGCACATAAAATATTTGTTCTTCAAAATATTTTTATTTGATACTGTTAAAATATTTTAAATGCCAACATTTAAGAAACTATAAACTAGATTACTTAAAAATTCTTTTTCATATGTAACACAGGGTCAAATAGTATAGTGTGTCCTAACTTGTATAGTCTTCCAAAAAATATTAATGCCTAACTTAATTCGTAAAAGCTCTAGGTAATTCTCACATTTTCACATGCTCCAAGGAGTCCCACTATTCTTTATGTATACATCAATGTATCATTATCATGCAATAGTTTGATCTGACTCTTCAGAGATACCAACATATTCTCATGTCTGGACCTTGTTTTTTCCCTTGTTTAATTGATTACAACATAACAAATGTGTCATCAGATATATCTTAATGAATCGAGTTCTGGTGACCCAACACAAACATTAAAAAGGCAACTGTTTTATCTTAATCAGCTCCAGAGTAAGCAAACAGCAGATACACAGAAAAAAATCAATGGATTAATGGAGACTGGACTCCCAATACTGAGCTGACTGCTGGAATTTGCTCAGTTGTCCCTACCCAGCATCTTCCCTTCCCATGTGTGTTGTTGATATTGATATTGTTGTTGCTAAGACTAATGAGTCCATAAATTATTTGAAAATATTTTGCTTCTGGAGTTCATGGACTGTAATTCATAAGACTATTTCTCAACCTATCTGAAAGCAGAATCTCAAAATTTTAAAATAAGAAAGAATGTCTTCATCTGAAGATGTAATGAAGAAGAATACTGAATATGATACTCTAAACTATCACTTTGGTTGTACTAACCTGCACCAAATGCAGGTTGAATGGTTAGTTAAATGTACTAACCATTTAACTAACCTGCACATTGTGCACATGTACCCTAAAACTTAAAGTATAATAATAATTAAAAAAAAGAAAAAGAAAAATATACAAAAAAAAAAAAGCAGAAGAGAAAATGGCATTTTGAAATTCCTTAATGGATGGAAGCAATATGAAGAGATATTTAATAGAGGTTAAGTCAATACTGGCTCAAACAGGAATAAAAGATATTTCAATTGTTATAGATACAATTGAACTGTCAAATAATTTCAAACATAGTCAAACTCAATCACTATTTTTTTAAATTTTACTTCAGTTCTGGGATACATGTACAGAACGTGCATGTTTGTTACATAGGTATACATGTGCCATGGTGGTTTGCTGTACCTATCAACCCATTATCTAGGTTTTAAGCCCCACATGCATTAGGTATTTGTCCTAATGCTCTCCGTCCCCTTGCCCCCCAGCCCCTGACAGGCCCCAGTGTGTGGTGTTCCCCTCCCTGTGTCCATGCGTTCTCATTGTTCAACTCCCATTTATGAGTGAGAAGTGCAGTGTTTGGTTTTCTGTTCCTGTGTTAGCTTGCTGAGAATGGTGGCTTTCAGCCTCATCCATGTCCCTGCAAAGGACATGATTTCATTCTTTTTTATGGCTTCATAGTACTCCATGGTGTATATGTGCCACATTTTATTTATCTAGTCTATCATTGATGGACATTGGGTTGGTTCCAAGTCTTTGCTATTGTAAATAGTACTGCAATAAACATATGTGTTCATGTGTCTTTATAGTAGAATGATTTATGATCCTTTGGGTATATATCCAGTAATGGGATTCCTGGATCAAATGGAATTTCTGGTTATAGATCTTTGAGGAATTGCCACACTGTCTTCCACAATGGTTGAACTAATTTACACTCCCACCAACAGTGTAAAAGCGTTCCTATTTCTCCACTGCCTCATCAGCATTTATTGTTTCCTGACTTTTTCATAATTGGCATTCTAACTGCTATGAGATGGTATCTCATTGTGGTTTTGATTTGCAATTCTCTAATGATCAGTGATGATGGCTTTTTTTATATATTTGTTGGCCTCATAAATTTCCTTTTTTGAAAAGTGTCTGTTCATATCCTTTGCCCACTTTTTGATGGGGTTGTTTGTTTTGTTCTTGTAAATTTGTTTAAGTTGCTTGTAGATTCTGGATATTAGACCTTTGTCAGATGGGTAAATTGCAAAAATTTTCTCCCATTCTGTAGGTTGCGTGTTCACTCTGATGCTAATTTCCTTTGCTGTGATCTTTACTTTAGTTAGATACCATTTGTCAATTTTGGCTTCTATTGCAATTCTTTTTGGTGTTTTAGTCATGAAGTCTTTGCCCATGCCTACATCCTGAATAGTATTGCCTAGGTTTTCTTCTAGAAGTTTTATGGTTTTGGGTTTTACATTTGAATCTCTAATCCATCTTGAGTTAATTTTTGTATAAGGTGTAAGAAAGGGGTCCAGGTTCAGTTTTCTGCATACGGGTAGCCAGTTTTCCCAGAACAATTTATTACATTGGGAATCCTTTCTCCATTGCTTGTTTTTGTCAGGTTTGTCAAAGATCAGATGGTTGCAGATGTGTGGTGTCATTTTGGAGCTCTGGGTTCTGTTCCATTGGTCTATATATCTGTTTCAGTATGACTACCATGCTGTTTTGGTTACTGTAGGCTTGTAGTACAGTTTGAAGTCAGGTAGTATGATGCTTCCAGCTTTGTTCTTTTTGCTTAGGATTGTCTTGGGTATACAATATTTTTTTTTGGTTCTATATGAAATTTAAAGTAGTTTTTTCTAATTCTACAAAGAAAGTCAATGGTAGCTTGATTGGAATAGCATTAAATCTATAAATTACTTTGGGCAGTATGGCCATTTTCACAATATAGATTCTTCCTATCCATTGTTGGGAATAGGCCCCCAAAATCTGGCTATAAATTTGCCCCAAAACTGGCAATAAACAAAATCTCTGCAGCACTGTGACATGTTCATGATGGCCATGATGTCCATGCTGGAAGGTTGTGGGTTTTCCAGAATAAGGGCAAGGAACACTTGGCCCACCCAGGGTGGAAAACCGCTTAAAGGCATACTTAAACCACAAACAATAGCGCGAGTGACATGTGCCTTAAGGACATGCTCCTGCTGCAGATAACTAGCCAGACCCATCCCTTTATTTCGGCCTATCACTTTGTTTCCCGTAAGGAATACTTTCAGTTAATCTATAATCTATAGAAACAATGCTTATCACTGGCTTGCTGTTAATAAATACGTGGGTAAATCTCTGTTTGAGGCTTTCAGCTCTGAAGGCTGTGAGACCCCTGATTTCCCACTCTACACCTCTATATTTCTGTGTGTGTGTCTTTAATTCCTCTAGCACCGCTGGGTTACGGTCTCCCTGACTGAGCTGGTCTTGGCAATCCATGAGCATGAAATGCTTTTCCTTTTGTTTGTGTCCTTTCTTATTTCCTTGAGCAGTGGTTTGTAGTTCTCATTGAAGAGTTCCTTCACATCCCTTGTAAGCTGTGTTCCTAGGTATTTAATTCTCTTAGTAGAAATTGTGAATGGGAGTTCATTCATGATGTGGCTCTCTGCTTGTCTATTGTTGGTGTATAGGAATGCTTGTAATTTTTGCACATTGATTTTGTATCTTGAGACATTGCTGAAGTTGCTTATCAGCTTAAGGAGTTTTTGGGCTGAGATAATGGGGTTTTCTAAATATAGAATTATGTCATCTGCAGACAGAGACAGTTTGACTTCCTCTCTTCCTATTTGAATACTATTTCTTTCTTTCTTTTACCTGATTTCCCTGGCCAGAACGTCCAATACTATGTTGAATAGGAGTGGTGAGAGAGGTCATCCTTGTCTTGTGCTGGTTTTCAAAGGGAATGCCTCCAGCCTTTGCCCATTAAATATGACATTAGCTATGGGTTTGTCATAAATGGCTCTTATTATTTTGAGATATGTTTCATCAATGTCTAGTTTATTGAAAATTTTTAGTATGAAGGGATGTTGAATTTTATCGAAGGCCTTTTCTGCATCTATTGAGATAATCATGTGGTTTTTGTCATTGGTTCTGTTTATGTGATGTATTACATTTATTGATTTGTGTATGTTGAACCAGCCTTGCATCCCAGGAATGAAGCCAGCTTGATTGTGGTGGATAAGCTTTTTGACGACTGCTGGATTTGGTTTGCCAGTATTTTATTGAGGATTTTCACACTGATGTTCATCAGGGATATTGGCCTGAAGTTTTTCTGTTGTTGTTGTGTCTCTGCCAGGTTTTGGTGTCAGGATGATGCTGGCCTCATAAAATGAGTTAGAGAGGAGACCTTCCTTTTCTGTTGTTTGGAATCATTTCAGAAGGAATAATCCACCTCCTCTTAGTACATCTGGTAGAATTCGGCTGAGAATCCATCTGGTCCTCAGCTTTTTTGGTTGGTAGGCTATTAATTACTGCCTCAATTTCATAAATTGTTATTGGTCTATTCAGGGATTTGACTTCTTCCTGGTTTAGTCTTTGGAGGGTGTATGTGTCTAGGAATTTATCCATTTCTTCTAAATTTTCTAGTTTATTTGCATAGAGGTGTTTATAATATTCTCTGATGGCAGTTTGTATTTCTGTGGGATCAGTGGTCATATCCCATTTATCATTTTTTATTGTCTATTTGATTCTTCTCTCTTTTCTTCTTTATTAGTCTAGTTAGTAGTCTGTCTATTTTGTCAATTTAAAAAAAAACAGCTCCTGTATTCATTTATTTTTTGAAGGGTTGTTCATGTCTCTATCTCCTTCAGTTCTGCTCTGATCTTTGTTATTTCTTCTCTTCTCCTTTTGAATTTGTTTGCTCTTGCTTCTCTAGTTCTTTTAATTGTGATGTTAGGGTGTCAATTTGAGATCTTTCCAGCTTTCTCATGTGGCCATTTAGTGCTCTAAATTTCCCTCTTAACACTACTTTAGCTGTGTCCCAGAGATTCTGGAACACTGTCTCTTTGTTCTCATTGGTTTCAAAGAACTTCGTTATTTCTGCCTCAATTTTGTTATTTACCTAGGGGTCATTCAGGAGCAGGTTGTTCGATTCTCATGTAGTTGTGTGGTTTTGAGTGAGTTTCTTAATTCTGAGTTCTAATTTCATTGCACTGTGGTCTGTCAGACTGTTTGTTATGGTTTCTGTTCTTTGCGTTTGCTGAGGAGGGTTTTACTTCAATTATGTGGTCAATTTTAGAATAAGTGCCATGTGGCACTGAGAAGAATGTATATTCTGTTGATTTGGGGTGAAGAGTTCTGTAGATATCTATTTGGTCCAATTGATCCAGGGCTGAGTTCAAGTCCTGAATATTCTTGTTAATTTTCTGTCTCATTGATCTGTCTAATATTGACAGTGGGGTATTAAAGTCTGCCAATATTACTGTGTGGAAGTCTAAGTCTCTTTGTAGGTCTCTAAGAACTTGTTTTATGAATCTGGGAGCTCCTATATTGCGTCCATATATATTTAGGATAGTTAGCTCTACTTGTTGAATTTTTCCCTTTACCATTATGTAATGCCCTTCTTCATCTTTGTTGTTTTAAAGTCTGTTTAATCAGAGACTAAGATTGCAACCCCTGATTTATTTTTGCTTTCCATTTGCTTGGTAAATATTCATCCATCCCTTTATTATGAGCCTACGTGTGTTTTTGCACATGAGATGGGTCTCCTGAATACAGCACACTGATGGGTCTTGGATCTTTATCCAGTTTGCCAGTCTCTGTCTTTTAATGGGCATTTAGCCCATTTACATGTAAGGTTAATATTGTTATGTGTGAATTTGATCCTGTCATTATGATGCTAGCTGATTATTTTTCACATTAGTTGATGCAGTTTCTTTATAGTTTCATTGGTCTTTATATTTTGGTGTGATTTTGCAGTGGCTGGTACCAATTTTTCCTTTCTATATTTAGTGCTTCCTTCAGGAGCTCTTGCAAGACAGGCCTGGTGGTGACAAAATCTCTCAGCATTTTCTTGTCTGGAAAGGATTTCATTTCTCTTCACTTATGAAACTTCGTTTGCCTTGATATTAAATTCTGGGTTGAAAATTATTTTCTTTAAGAATGTTTACTATTGTCGCCCCCACACTGCCCCTTTGACTTGTAGGGTTTCTGCAGAGAGATCCACTGTTAGTCTCATTGGCTTCCCTTTGTAGGCAACCTGACCTTTCTCTTTGGCTGCCCTTAACATTTTTTCCTTCATTTCAACCTGGGAGAATCTGATGATTATGTGTCTTGGGGTTGATATTCTCATGGAGTAACTTAGTGGTGTTCTCTGTATTTCCTGAATTTGAATGTTGGCCTGTCTTGCTAGGTTGAGGAAATTCTCCTGGATAATATCCTGAAGTGTGTTTTCCAACTTGGTTCCATTCTCCCTGTCACTTTCAGGTATACCAATCAATCTTAGATTTTTTTTTTTTCACATAGTCCCATGTTTCTTGGATGCTTTGTTCATCCCTTTTTATTCTTATTTCTCTAATATTGTCTTTACACCTTATTTCATTGAGGTGATTTTCAATCTCTGATATCCTTTCTTCCACTTGATCGATTTGGCTATTGATACTTGTGTATGCTTCACAAAGTTCTTGTGCTGTGTTTTTCAGCTTCATCAGGTCATTTATGTTCCTGTGTAAACTGGTTATTCTATTTAACAGTTCCTGTAACCTTTTATCAAGGTTCTTAGCTTCCTTGCATTGGGTTAGGAAATGCTCCTTTAGCTGAGAGGAGTTTGTTATTACCCACCTTCAGGATATTATCCAGGATATAATCCCATTTTATAAACCTGCTTCTGTAAATTCATCAATCTCATTCTCCATCCAGTTTTGCAACCGTGTTGGAGAGGTGTTGCTATCATTTCGAGGAGAAGAGACATTCTGGCTTTTGGAATTTTCAGCACTTTTGCACTAGTTTTCCCTCATCTTCCTGGATTTATCTACCTTTGATCTTTGAGGCTGATGACCTTCGCATGGGGTTTTTGTATGAGGGTCTTTTTTTGTGTGATGTTGTTGTTGCTTTCTCTTTGTTAGTTTTTCTTCTAATGGTCAGGTCTCTCTTTTGCAGGTTTTCTGCAGTTGCTAGAAGTCCACTCCAGACCCTGTTTGCCTGGGTATCACCAGTAAAGGCTGCAGAACAGTAAAGATTGGTGCCTGTTCCTTCCTCTGGAAGCTGCATCCCAGAGGGGCACTGGCCTAGTGCTAGCTGGAGCTCTCCTGCATGAGGTGTCTGTTGACCCCTGTTGGGAGGTGCCTCCCAGTCAGGAGGCACGGGGTTCAGGGACCCACTTGAGGAGGTAGTCTGTCTCTTAGCAAAGCTGGTGTGCTATGCTGGAAGAATCCTCCTTTTCAGATCAGCTTCTCTCTTCAGAGCCAGTAGGCAGGAAAGATTAAGTCTGCTGAAGCTGTGACACATCCACTTCTCCCCAACAAGTGCTCTGTCCCAACGAGATGAGAATTTTATCTGTTAGCCCCTGACTGGGGTTGCTGCATTTCCTTCAGAGACGCCCTTCCCAGTGAGAAGGAATCTAGAGAAGGAGTCTGGCCATAGCCACTTTGTCACACTCTTGTGAATTCCGTCCAGTCCAAACCTCCCAGTCTCTTTAGCATTGTCAGGGGAAAACCGCCTACTAAAGCCTCAGTAATAATGGTGGATGCCCCTCACTTCACCATGCTCGATCATCCCAGCTTGACTCCAGACTGCTGTGCTGGTGGTGAGAATTTCAAGCCGGACGTTCTTAGTTTGCTGAGCTCCGTGGGAGTGGGACCCGCTGAATGAGACCACTTGGATCCATGGCTTCAGGCCCCTTTCCAGGGGAGTGGATGCTTCTCTTGGCTTGTTGGGGTTCCAGGTGCCACTGGGGTATGAAAAAACTGCAGCTATCTCAGTGCCTGCCCAAACAGCCACCCAGTTTTGTGCTTGAAACCCAGGGCCCTGGTGGTGTAGGCTCACGAGGAGATCTCCTGATCTGCAGATTGCAAAAATCCGTGGGAAAAACACAGTACCCTGGAGTGGGTAGCACAGTCCCTTACCACTTCCGTTGCCTGGGGGAGGGAGGCCTCCCGGCTCCTTGCACTTCCTGGGTGAAGCAATGCCCCACCCTGCTTCTACTCTGTCTCCATGGGTCGCACCCACTGTCTAACCAGTCCCAGTGAGATGAACTGGGTACCTCAGTTGGAAATGCAGAAATCACTCACCTTCTGTGTTGGTCTTGCCGGAAGCTGCAGACCAGAGCTGTTTCTATTTGGCCATCTTGGCCCCTCCATCAAACTCAACCATTCTTAATAAACACAGTGCAATACTCATATAGATATAAACATTTGAAACAGTTTATGAAAATACACATATTTGATCCTAAATACTCAAATCAATTGTTTTTGGTACTATTGTAATATGCAATATGACAAATAAACAATTAGGAATGCATTAATTTTTCCCAAGGCTCTGAAAACTGTGTAATATATATTGAAAATATAATGGTATAGGACTTTAGGGAATAAAACAATTTTCTTTCTCTATCAACAACATAATGAATTTTTCTTATTTCAAATAAAATTCTGCGTACTATATTTTTACTGAAAACATTAAAATATAGAATTTTAGAAGTCAGTAAATTAATGATAATGAATGAATAATAAATTAATTTAGTTCACAGAATAATCAAATTTCAAGTTTCAATAGAGTATTTATTGTAGTTCAAAAATTTATATAATTATATTTGTTTAATTTGCCATATTCCTTTATATTGAGAATATTATTTAACTGAACATCCTGCTTAAAAACTCATCATTTTTCCTTTTAAAGGACATTAGAATAAAAAGCAAGCAGTATAGTTTCTCATTTTTAATAGACAAACTTACAAATAACTACATTCTTTTTATTGTTAAAAAGAAAGCACAGCACTTATAAATGCAATGTTTCAGAAGAAAACAGATAATGTAGTAGAAGATTGCAAGAAACTTTTTTCATCTTTAAGCACAAATGAGTCACATAATTTTACAGGTAACAGTGTCTCCTGAAGAAATAGTTTCCAAGGTGGCTTTAGAGAATGCCAGGGGTATACAACTCAATTCATTTCATTACAAGGGTTAAAACAACATGCAAATTGTAAACAGCATTTTGTGATTTATCTTAGTGGTAATTGTTGTAATTTGTTAATATTATACTAATGTAGTAGAACACAAATAAAATGTATCAATCAATAAATAAGTATTGAAGTTATATTTTCCAATTAATTTACTGCAGATGCATATTATTAAAAATGTTTGCAGTTTTTTGCTCTGAGGAGTTTAAGAACAGAGGAGATGTTAGAAGTGTCTTTGATCTCAATAGTTTTTTAGAAGAGGATGTTCAATGTTTTAGCCCCTTCATAATTTCATGAAATGAATATTTCATTGAATTTATGTGTTATTCCAGATTCTTAATTCTCCAAGTCAGTAGATAGAGCGAAAAGTTATTCCTTTTGAATTAGATATGTTAAAATATCCAAAAATATTTTACTATCTGGTTTTCAATATTTGAGAATTTAAGCTTTTAATCTCTTTTCCAATTACTGGTCAAATTTTCTACTTAAAAAAAAATAGCCATTAGCCTTTAGTTTGAATATTTTTTTCCCCTGAAAAACCCTGCTGCTAAGTGAACATCTGGTAAGTAACTTAAGAAATAATAATTATATTAATTATAATGGGAAAATTATATTTTATTCCTTCCCCAAATACGCCATTTTCACAAAAGAAACACATTAATTGAAAAACAAAAACTATTTTACATATTATACATATGTTGAAATTAAACAAATGGAAGTTGTACATAATCTGTAATGTAATGTAGCAAACAACGTAAGAGGAAATGAAGATTTGATTGTGGTGGAAGATGGTGAAGGTGGGATCAAAGGAGTCATTCTTAGGAAGATAAATCTTTCTGCACTAGTTTTTTAATTCATTTTTCAACCTTTTGGAAGCTCATGGTTAGTGTACACTCAAACTTCATATAGAAATATGGTTATATCACAGTAAAGCAACATTAGAGCTAAATAGAGGCCCTCCAACCCCCCAAAAAAGAGTGTTTGTGAACATTTGGAAAGACCAAAACTAGTGGGGATACAAGATAAGCTGTAGAAGAGGCTGCATCTTCAATCTTCTCACTTGCTGTATGCAAGAAATGTTAAAGATAAAACTTGATTATATAAAAGTTTAGCTCAGATTAAATATTAATACCAGGAAGCAGGAAGGAAAGTTACAAACATTAAGTAAAATAATTTTTAAGTGCCTTGGTTTTCTAAGCAGATATTTTACTAAACTTGGGATTTTAGTTCATTCAAAACTGATAAAACAACCAGTCTTGCTGGTGTCGTCAATGTGTCTAAAATATTTATGAGTAAACACCAGGGAACAATGGAGAGTAAAATTATGTCTGTCATTTAATCAGTGTTATAAGTTTTGTAAACTTATAGTTTGTTAGGTCATTCAATCATTCTTTCACTATAAATTAATCTGATTAAATGTCTCTACATTATCCAAATAAATTATGCAATTGTAAGATGGACATATTTGTCTTTGAACCTAACTGAAATACTGAATCATGCCTCCCACCTAAAGCAAGTTACTGGGAAAATATATTGACTGGGAATGCATACAATTTTCATTTCTTTTTCAAAAATTCTGAGTAGAAAACTTATTTTTTTCCCTGGAATAAGAATTTTTTTTTCAAATTCAAAAATAAAGTCTGTAGAGATAAAAGTATTACCAACTTGCCAAACCGGATAGTAACTTTGTTCAATCAAAATGAAGAATTCAAACAGGAAACGACAAATGATGCCGATAATAAGTTTGTTTTAAGTCATAGTCTGTAAAAATTGCCCAGGGTCATATCATGGCATTTCAAATTTAAACTTTTTTCTCATATAGTCTATTTCACTTCTGCAGCATACAATTACATTAAACAAAATCATACTAACATTAATATCTATGTCTTAGGCTACATAAAATTTTATTTTTGGGAAAATAATAGAAAATCATTGAACACTAACACAAAATCTTTAGCCATATTTCTATCTGTGTGCACTATTTAGGTTACACCAAAATAAAGAAACTTCTCCCTAATTAATAAATAGAAAATAAAATAATAGGTGACTGTTTAATATAAATTTGATATATCAGGCATATATGACTTAGCAAAAGGTTTGAATTATAGAATAAGTTTAATATTCTATAAAATATGTTTAACATTCTGTAATTAGAATATGTTTAAATATATTAGGCTTTGTTACTTGTAGATGAATATTACAATACACAGTAGGCTATCAAAATGCAAAAATAAAAAATAGAAACAAAACAAAAAATAAAATAGCCCTGCATATCTTCTCTGTTTTTTTGAGAAATTAGACTATGTCCACACATTTCTCATTTTTGTGTTTGCTTTTACACACTCTTATGGAACACCAAAAAACATTCAATTTACTTGTGGCAGAGAAATAATTACTAATTAAAAAATAGATTTAAGAGAGACCTTTTTGATTAATTAGATTCAGATGCTAAGCTTATACTCAGAAAGTTGAGTTCTTTCCCAAGATCACTGAGCAAATTATTAGGCAAACCAGATATTTTACTCTAGGGATAGTTTGCTTTTCAGGATACTAGGAAAGATGATGCACAGAACCCATTTTTTTAGATGAACTAAATAAAAACTATCTGCATAAGATAAGCTTGCATTTTTGAACCCATAATATACTGGATTATTTGTCCCAAGTTCTCACTCTGTCTTTGTAAAAGTCATACTTCAGCATACTTAGTGACTCCTGTTAGAATAGGTAATGTATTTTTTTTGACAATGACTTGGGGATTGCAAATGTGAGTTACTTTGGCTAATGGAATATTGGAGAATATGACACAAGCAGAGGCTTTACTGTGTTTGCATAGTTGCCTTCTTGAGCTTCTGTCATCTACCATGAGTAAACCATGCTCTTCAGGGTGAGGAGGCATGTGCAGTAGACATAATGAAAACATTGCAAAGGTAATAATGCAAATGATTAGGGTGTTAAGCATCAGTGGATTTTGTACTTATTGAAATATAAACCTAGCTTGGCTAGAAGACCTTTTAAAGTAACAGAGAGTATGAATTTAAAGTAACAGAGAGTATGAACCCCAAGTTTGCACATAAGTATAAAATTTTCAAAATTCTAATATTGTGTGTGATTATTAATTTTAATAAACTTTTAATTTCAGGTCTAATGTTACAAAAATGCAAGTTTAGCATAGAATTCTCTTATATCTCATATTCATTTTCCCCAATTATTTATATCTTACATTAAGATGGTACATTGCTACAATTAATGAAGCAATCATATGTTATTACCAAAAGCCCATGATTTATTAAAATTTCCTGTTTTCCCCTAATATGCTTTTTACAAATGTTTTTAAAGTTTTCTTCCTCGATTCCATGTTACATTTAGTAGCCATATCCCCTTACATTTCTTATTGTTTTTGATGACCTTGGGAATTTTGAAGATTATGGATAAGGCATTTTGTAGAATGTTCCTTAATTGTCATTTGTCTATTTTTTTTCTCATGGTTAGACTGAGATTGTGTGTGTGTGTGTTTACTTTCTTTACAGTTTATTGAGGTAAAATTGATATATTAAGAACCACACATATTTGATGTTTACATTATGATTCATTTGGACATTACAAGATCATGATATCATCATCATAATCAAGGTAATAGATACATTCCATACCTCTTAAAGTTTTCTTGAGTCCCTTTGTGTGTTTGCTTTTTTGTGTGTGTGATAGGAAAACTTAACATGAGATCTACCCTCTTAACAAATTTTGAAATGCACAATACTGCACAGTTAATTATAGCCACTATGCTGTACAACAGATATTTAGCACTAACATTCATCTAGCGTAACTGAAACTTCATACCCATTGGACAACAACTCCCCATTTCTACCATCTCCCAGCCCCTGGAAACTGCTATTGTGTTGTTTGCTTCTATGAGTTTGACTATAATAGACACTTTATGTAAGCAGAATCATGCAGTGTTTGTCTCTCTGTGACTAGTTTATTACACTTAGCATAATGCCTTTGGGTAATGTGTTTTTGAAAAAAAAGACAGCAGAGATAAATTCCCATTCTCATTACATGTTGTTAAGGGAACGTAACATCAACATCACTGGTAATGTTAACCTTAAATATCTGGCTTGAAGTAGTGTTTATCAGATTTTTCTACTATAAGTTACTCTTTTTTTATTTTGTTTTGTCTTTTTACTTCCTCATTCTTTCCTACACTGAAAAACCTCAAGGAATGAGGATTTATGTCGAGGTCATTAATGACAAAGTAACCTCATAAATTGTTTGGAATTCTTTCTTCTGCCTGGGATATTTGTCTATACCCCTCCATTTACTTATTTATACCATCATTTGTTTACATTAGCACAGACACATGAATTTTTACATTATATTTAGGGTTATAATCTAATAATCTTTAAATTCAAATCATTCCAATTTACACCACTGGGAGCTTCTCTGGTTAGCTCCTATGTCTCTTTAACATGCTTGTATTTGTTTATTGGTCTTCAGATAAACTCAATTAATAGTCAACCAGAATATGTTTAAATTTACCTCTAGCTTGGAAGCCCCTGCTTTGAGCTGTCCTGCCTTTTTGACCCAAACCAATGTATTTCTTAAATGTATTTGATTGATGTCTCATGTCTCTCAAAAACATATAAAACCAATCTGCACCCTGACTACCTTGGGCACATGTTCTCAGGATCTCCTGTGGGCTGTGTCATGAGCCATGGTCACTCATTTTTGGCTCAGAATGAATCTCTTCAAATATTTTACAGAGTTTGACTCTTCGTTGACAAGAGCTATACATGAATCTTTCTCAGTTCATTAATGTGAATTGCAAGAGATAAAGCCCATTAAATTATGTCCTACCCTCCCCCAGTACTTTAGCCTTCAAGAGTTTCTCACTATCATGTTAGTCCACACTAAGCTTCCAGCAATTCATCAACATTATCAGTTAATGGTCTTACCAGTCTTTGGTTCCAACTGCTTTTGCTCTAGCTAAGTAGATCTCAGCTGAATTATGTCCCCAAATTTCAAAGTTTTTGCCTCATCTCAGATATTTTTGGTATATTGTGTCTGTATTTTTATTAATTTCAAATACTTTTTTATTTCTACCTTAATTTTATTGTTTACTCAAAAGTCACTCAAGAGTAAATTGTTTACTTTCCATGTGCTAGTGTGGTTTTGACAGACCTTCTTGGTATTCATCTTTACTTTCATTTTACTGTCTTTGATAGTATGGCTTGATATGGTTTTGCTTTTATTAATTTATTAAGACTTTCTTTATGACTGAGCAAGTGGTTGATCTTAGTGTATCTTCCATGTGCAGTTGAAAAAAATGTATATTCTGTGGTTGTGGGTGGAGTATTCTGTAGCTGTCCATTTGGTCCAATAAAGTATTGAGTTTAGGTCCAGAATTTCTCTGCTAGTTTTTTGCCTTGATAAACTAATGCTTTCAGTGGGATATTGAATTCCCACACTGTTATTGTGGAGCTATATGTCTTTTTGTAGGTCTAGAAGTACTTGTTCTATGAATTCGAGCATTCCAATGTTGGATGCATACATATATTTCGGATATTTAAGTCTTCTTGTTGAACTATAAACTCTTTATTATATAATGGCTTACTGGATCCTCTTTTACTGTTGTTAATTTAAAGTCTGTTTTATCTGATATAAGATTAGTGACTTCTGCTCTTTTTTGTTTTCCATTTGCATGGAAATGGAAACCAGATCTTTCTGGATCCCTTTACTTCATGCTTGGGGGTGTTGTTACATATGAGATTGGTCTCAAAGACAGCAGATAGTTGAGTCTTGCTTTTTCTATCCAACTCGTCACTCTATGACTTTTTAATAGGGTGTTTAGACTATTTATATTTAAGGTTGGTATTATATTCGGGGTTGACAATAATATATTAAGTTTTGATCCTGTCATCATGTTGTTAGCTGGTTGTTTTGTAGACTCTATTGTGTAGTTGCTTTATAGGGTCTGTAGAATATGTATTTAAGTGTGTTTCTTTTTTTGTAGTGGAAATCATTCTTTCATTTCCATGTTTAGCACTCTCCTAAAAACCTTTTGTAAGGCTGGTCTAATGGTAACAAATTCTCCTCTCATTTTATCATCTGGAAAAGATTTTATTTCTTCTTTGTTCATGAAATGTAGTTTGGCAGAATCTGACATTCTTGGTTGGAACTACTTTTCTTTAAGAATGCTGAAAATAGGCCTTCAATCCCTTCTGGCTTGTAAGGAAGGTTACTGCTGAAAATTCTGATGGTAGCCTGATGGGATTTTCTTCATGTGTGTCCTGGCCTTTTTCTCTACCTGTCTTTAAGATTTTTTTTTCTTTTGTATTGGTCTTGGAAAGAGTGGTAACTATGGTAACTTTGTGTCTTGGAGGTGGTCATTTGTAGAGTATCTCACAGGGGTTCTGTAAATTTCTTGAATCTTGACCTCTCTATTGAGATTGGACAATTTTTTGTGGACTATATCCACAAATATGTTTTTGAAATTGCTATGTCTTTTCCCTTCTCTCTCTGGAATGCCAATGAGTTGTAGGTTTGTTCACTTTATGTAATCCCACATTTCATAGAGCTTTTGCTCATTTTTTAAAAATTCTTTTTTCTCTTTATTTTTTGTCTGATTTAATTGATTTAAAGAACTAGTCTTTGAGCTCTGAGATTATTCCTTCTGCTTGGTCTAGTCTATTGTTAAGGCTTCCAATTGTATTTTGAAATTTCTGTAGCAAAATTTTTAATACAAGAAGTTCAGTAGGGTTCTAAATTTAAAAAAAAAAATGTTTAACACATGTTCTTTGGACATTTTAGCAAGTGACACACATGGAAATATCTTGAGTATCAATGCTAACTTTTTTGTTAATTTTTTTTTAAATCTTGGGTTTATGGGGCAGCTACTGAAATTGAGGCATGAGAATAGTGTGTGGAGGCAGGGAACCTAAGACTGACTTGTGCTGACTTCCTAGAACTGAATCAAAAGGAAAACCCCACCTCTTCACACCCAAGTAAGAAAAGGATCAGAGGCTACTCTCTCTGCACTACATGCCAGAGGAAAAATGGAAAGTACCTCTGTTTGGTCGCCTCCCACAACCAATCAGACTGGTCGTGGGCCAAGTCTTCATGTGTAACTTTGTAACTTCACTTTAGCCTCTGATTTGACCCCTTTTAAAACCAATCAGATGTTTGCATAGGATGGAACTCTGTTACTTCACGTCAGCCTCAGATTGGTCATCTTCTGCAACCAATCAGACTGGTTGTTGGCCACTCCTTCATTTATATAGAGTTAAAACAAGTAACCAACGGGAAACCTCTGCAGAATATTTAAACCCCAGAAAACTCTGTAATCAGTGCTCTTGAGCATCTTGCTTGAGTGTGCTACGACTCTGTGGAGTGAACTTTCATTTCAACAAATCTGTGCTTTTCTTTCATTGCTTTGTGTCTTGTCCAATACTTTGTTCAAAACGCTAAGAATCTGGACACCCTCCATTGGAAACAAAACCACATTAATTTTTAGATCTGCTTCTTAAAGACCTACAACAATTTGCTATGTATAAATCACCTGCTAAAATAGGTCTGTATCATTCTACTGTTGATCTTTTGATTATATACTCATATTTCCATCCGCAGAGTAGTTGCTGCTTTATTTGATTACCCTCACTGAAAAAGTTACCCTGAAGCATGGTAGGGATCCTCGACAGTAAAGGATGTAATGTAGAAAGGGACGTTTAAACACAGTTGACTGTCTCTTGTGATAATGAAAATGAGCACAGTGTTATAGCAATCTTTATTTTCCACACTCCCAATGTGTGCAGGAAATTGAGAATGAAAATTTTCAAGTCATACAAAGTAAGAGAGAAAACTAAAAACACAATTTTAAGTACTGTGGTGTCAGGTTGAGCCACAGTACATTATGTCAATGATTTCATTTCCTCTGCAAGGCTCTGACAGGGAAGGCATATATTTTTACTAAACAAAAAGAAAAGGTGGAATATATTTTATCTCATTAGAACATTTTGAACTAAAGGCACAATGGGGCCACTTAGAACATTAGATCCTGCTGCTGATTTCATATTTATTTCATTGAACTGACAACAAAGTAACTGATCTTTACCTCAGTGTGTATACAAAGAGTAGCAAAACAAACCTCCTGGGGAGAACATAAAGTGTATTGAGAGTTACAGAACACTGTATCCTTCTGTCCTTTTGGAAATTGTTAAGTAGTGAAAATAAAAATACATGTTTAATCACAAATTAACTGTTTATAAGTTAAAAGCCCATAAAATCAGCTCTATTGCATTCTAAGTGATAAGATGTCTTCAGTAAATTTGGGTTCAAAATACAACCATCCTATGTTATCTTATGTTTATGTAATACTAGTTTTTGCTTATCTTACCACCTTGAAGGAACACAAAATAATACATTGAGTAATATTTATTTGATTTATGGGCTTTCTACCATTTCAAAGACTCCTTCAAATATTTTCAGATTTTCCCAGGGTGTGTTTTATATAAGCCCCCACAACATATTACCACCTACATCACTAGGCCTACCAGGTGCCACTATTGGTTCTCCCCCATCTTTTGCCATCCTTAACTCTCATACACACTGCTACTTTTCATCAGCAACCCTGAATACCACTAGCAGTGAACTGGAATCTTGAAATCCAAAAATAATATATTTTCCTGAGTTTTTGTGATGTATTATCTACTTGGAGAAATATCAAAACTAGTCCTCATCCTACCAGCATCTTAGAGAGCTGAAGTAAAACAGCTTTTTCTAATTTTATTTATAGTCCCTTCTTTGGGATCTGTTCACTAGTTTAGGGAGGTAGGCTGGAATATTTTTGAGTGGCATGTGTCACTTTGTGTGAAAATGTTTCTTCTGTGAGGGCTATGGCATTGTCACTGGATTAAATTATATGTGCTTAATTTTTGCTTTAATATAAGCTTTGTCCTAGGAACCTTGTCAGTAAATCTCATACATGGTATTATGAGGCAAGCTGCAAAATTTCACCAGACAGGCATATATTAGTATGTGTCATAATAAAGACCCAATTAAGCTCAATCTTGTATTAAAAAAATCCATAAATATCTTATGTTTTTCAGCAAATGGGAGCCCCAGAGTCAACATAAAATACCTGCATGTAAAATTTTGGTGATATAATACTCTTTATAAGTTACAAGCCAGTATTTTACTCAGAAGTCTTTTTTAATATAAGAAAATAATAGTTACTTTAATTTTTGAATCCATTGCTCTAATTTCATGAATATCATCACATGTGTACACTCTCAATTATTAGGAAGCTGTCATGTAACTGTGTGAACTTCTGTGAAACAAAATAAATGTTACAATTATTCCTAAGGAAAATTTCATGTGTGAAATGAGTCATAGTCTTAAAGAGTAGCTTATTTTTACCTATAATACCTTAATCAAGGATGCTGTGTTTTCTACAGATTGAATGAATATTTTTGTTTGTTTTTCACTAAATTAATTATGAACTAAAAATTTCTTCTGATTTATACTGATTTATAAATACACAAATTAAACCTATAAACTTCTGCGTTTTTTATTTCTTTGTTTTTATTACTAGCTTAAGGATGAAAAAAATTTTTCCTCCAAAAAATATATATTTTCAGAAACAATGTGAGCCCTGGGTTTCAATTGTAGTAGGTACATGACATCCAAATTGTATACATTAAAAATAATTATGTCTATTTGTGTTTGTGTTACAAATAATTCAATATTTTAAGTTTAAATAGAAAACATGTTTCTATAAAAAACATAATTAGCACCATTGTAGTCAGAATGAAGATTTTTAGATGAAGATTTGCTGTTCTGTGATAAAAATTCCCAGAGGCTAGCTACATAACCTTTCGAAAAATATAGTATCTTACCAAATTCCTAACAGACCAATGGGAAGATACTTATTCAGATTTGGGGGTTGTCTATTTATAATATTTGTTTTACATAAAATGTCTTTTTTAAAACTGTTGAGACAATGACTGCAAAAGAGCAGATATTCAAAATTCTAAATGAATTTTATAAATGTGAATGCCTGAAATGTAGAAAGAACAAAGGAAGATCAGGTATATATCTTCTACTATTTTTATCCCTAGATCTAGAATTATAAATTTTGATATAGAAGTCAAATTAGTGAAAGGAGGAAAGAAGTAAACTGAAAAATAATCTGCCCTCAGGGCTTTATGTAACAAAGCACATGTTTTATATCTGGGCAGTCCATAGAGTAGTCTCAAGCTCTGTGTAGATTCTGAGCACATGAACTGTGGCTAGTATAATTGGGAAACTGAGTTCTAATAATATTTTAATTTTTAATAAACTTTATTTTAAAATGGTTGTAGACTTTCAGAAAGAAAAAGTAAGGATAGTTCAGAGTTCTCATATACCTTACACTCAGTTTTCCTTAGTAATAACATCTCACTTTGGTAGGGTAAATTTATTATATTTAATGAGGTTATACTACTATATTATTATTAACTTAAGTTCACAATTTATTCATGTTTCCTAATTGTTTACCTAATGTCTTTTGCTAGTTCAAGAATTCTATACAAGATACCACATTATACTGTTGTGTTTCCTTACGTTCCACTTGGCTGTGACAGTTTCTCAGACTTTTCTTGTTTTTGACTGATTACCTGAACAGTTTGAGGAGTACTGGTAATCTGGTATTTCATAGCATGTTCCTCTATTAGGATTTTTCTGATGCTTACACAAATTTGAATGAGGTTATGAACTGTGAAAAGAAAGACCCCTGAGGTAATATACCATTCTCATCACAACACATTAAGGGTACCTACTATCAACATGACTTAGCATTGTTCATGTTAAACATTATGAGCTGGCTGAGGCAGTGTTTGTTAGATTTCACCAATGGAAAATTACTCTTTTTTCCTGTATTTAGATACAGTACTCTTTGGAAGACTGTCACTATGTACAACACTCACTTAAGAAATATGGATTTGCACTCAACTTCCTTGAGGGGGAAGTAGCTAAACAAATTATCTGTAATTTTTCTGCATGGTAGATTTGTGTATTATCCCCCATTCATTTATTTAATTGTTTATTTGTATCAGTATAGACCTATGGTTATTTATTTTATACTGTGGGTTATAATCCAAAAATGTTTAGTTTATTTTGTTGCTAACGTTTTTCTAATTTCAGACTTGGGGGAACTTTCAGTTGAATTACGTGTCCCTTTGACATAGCCCAGTCGTTTTCTTTCTACACTTCCTGTACCAGCCTTAGCCTCAGCTATTTATTCAAGAAGCTCTGGTTTCTCTTATTGGAGAACAGTGTTAAGGCTTAAAATACAGAAAATAGGTATGCTCATTGTCACTGAGGTGTTGTTGCTTCTAAGCAAAATTGTTTTTAATTTTAATTAATTCAATTTTAAATTCATATAGTTCCATGTGGCTTGTCACTCTATTGTATTAAACAGCTTCAATTGACAGATAAAAACACATTTATGTGGCTCTTGAGTAAGAATATAAGGCTTAAAATTTAAGATCTGCCACTTACTAACTACAAAATTTGCCCAAGTTAATTCAAACTCTGCTTTATAATTCAAACACAAAGGGGTTCATTATTTTATTTTCTTTAAAATATTTTACGGAATTCATAAGAATATTTATTAAAGAAGAGATTAGCATATTCTAAATTCTGGGAAACACAGCTCAGCTTCAGTGTTCTAAGGAACTGGCCTTGCACCGAAATCTAGCCTAAGAGTTTCTCTTATTGAACATAATTAATCTCATAGAACAACATCAGATAAATTGATACCAAGGCAAGATTTTTTAAAAATTTCAGTCTTTAATCTTGTTTGAGAAGAAAGGACAAGGTCTATACGTACACCATACAAATGATCAACTATTCATTTGTCGTTGACTAATATGCACAACTCGTGCTTTCTTATCAATTATAGATTAAGCCTTTCTTCTAGATAAGATTCATATAGACACTAACGGAGGAATTAGCTGTTTCTTGACAGCAACACATCCAGAACAAAGCTCTACTCCCTGAACCTTCTGTAAAATCACCTAACACAAGCCTAATCACCTAACTCATGTCTCACATGAGAGATATCCTTCTCTGAGATGACAAAAATCCAACTGTGTCTACTGACTACTGGTACATACCCAGTAGTCTAGCTGGAGGTCATCAACACAGTGGTAGTATTATTTCTAGAAAGCGCAGCCGAAGCTGTTGCTAGTTACTGTAGCTCTCATTCACGGATTCCATTGACTAACTGTTCATCAGACTCAGAAAATATATTATCTGCTATTTAATGTAGATTAACTAATACCTACTGACAGGATCCTTTCAGTGCCACTTTACCAGCAGGGTCTCTGCTCAACTTTTGCTCTAAGACCACTGGGCTGGCTCTACATACTTGGCCTGGAAGGCTGTGCTCAGCTTGCACTACCAGCCCAGATCTCAGGCCTATCACATGCGAGCTGGGCATGGAGCATTAAGGGGTGTGTGAGTGAGCACACATGAGGTTCAGCCACAGCACACAGCCAGGCATGCTGGCTTCTCAGAGGGTAGGTAGGGAAATTCCAGGTGCCAGCACAGACACAAGCTCCATGTAAGGCAGTGGCTGGACCATGCATACCTTAAGCGGATTCCGCCGTGGGCGATGGCATATGGACAAGGGGAACACCACAGCACTTGAAAATTCAGAGATGCCAGAAACCATGGAGTCCCAAAGGGGATGCTACAGCTCTGGCTCGGGGACCCCCAAGGTCTGGGCCCCCAGGAAGTGTTATGGTTCATTTGTGTTACAGCTCATTTATTCCCTCCTGTCCACACACTTTGGAGAAAGGGAGTATGTTCCAGCTTGTTTGTTCCTGTTGCCTCGCTCTGGCCTGTGGCTCCTGGGCTAGCCTGGCCCCACTGTCATCTCCCATTATGTGAGGAGGCCACCCAGTGTGGGTGGAAGACAAGAGGGCTGCAGTATTACAACTCCTTTCACACCCACTGTTCAGGTTCCATGTTCTTGTTTTGCATCCAAGAAGAATGAGGTTAGGCAGACAACCAGAGAGGTAGCAAGGTGGAGAGGAGTTTTATTGAGTGATAGAAAAGCTCTCAGTGGAGAGGGGATCTGAGGTGGGTAGCCCCTACCAGAAGGCGGGTAGTCCCCAGTTGTGGCTGAGTCCAAGGTTTTTACGTGCTCAGAACGGGAACGTGCATGCTGATTGGTCCATTGGCAGGCCTGGAAAAAGCATCATTTGATTGGCTAAAAGGCATGAAGGAAGTATGTGAACAGGCTATTTTGTTTTCAGGTTTTTTTTTTTTTTTTTTTTTTTTTTTGAGACGGAGTCTTGCTCTGTCGCCCAGCCTGGAGTGCAGTGGCGTGATCTCGGCTCACTGCAAGCTCTGCCTCCTGGGTTCACGCCATTCTCCTGCCTCAGCCTCCTGAGTAGCTGGAACTGCAGGCCCCCGCCACCACGCCCGGCTAATTTTTTGTATTTTTAGTAGAGACGGGGTTTCACCATGTTAGCCAGGATGGTCTCAATCTCCTGACCTCGTGATCCACCTGCCTCAGCCTCCCAAAGTGCTGGTATTACAGGCGTGAGCCACCGCACTCGGCCATGGTTTTCAGGGTTTAAAACTGCCTTTGGCTTGAAGGTTTCACTGGGAACCCACCCCTTTCTGCCTAGGAATTTGTCTGCCTCCTGCTGCTATCATTACTAAGGTTGAAGTGATATCCTCATCAATCGTCATAAAATATTGAACACGACTTTTTCTTTCTATCAGGGGCTAAGGAACTAGTAAAAACGACTGACACCAAAACCTATCAATTTAATGAATATAAAAAGGGCTATTCAGCACTGTGATGTTTGGAGGTGATTCAGTGCAGGATGAGAAATTTAGTCTGGGGATGGGTTGGGGAGGAGTGGTGAAAGTGGCCTAGATTCCTTATAAAAAACAAAATTAATTAATTATTTTTGCATTTTCTGGTTGAACTTTATTTGTTATCTCAGCTTTTAAAAAAGTTTGTGAAATATAAACCTCTGGTGCATTGTAAGAGGGTTTTTTCCTCCTTTAGTCAGAGATGGGCCATAGATCAACCTTAGATCCTTTGATATTTGTTTTTCAAATCTAGTTTCAATTGACACTTTTCAGTTTGTATTTTATATTGCAATAAATTACTCATGATGATATAAAACTTATTAAACATTTATATACTCCTATGATTTCAGAAAAGTAAAATGTGTATATTATTTATCTTTTCATAAAAATTCTGCCTTTGTAAATGTTATGATAATTTGTAATTCAGAAAGAAAAGTATAAAATAAGAACTACATATTGCAGTAACATACTATACATGCTCTGAAATAAAGTAGGGTCAATATGTCAATCAAGGAACACAACATAAATCTAAACATCAGTGATATTCCCCAAATGAAAGATGAATGCAGGAGGGCTATAGCTAAGGTTATCTACCTTCCCAGGAGGAGTTCTGCAATGCCCAGTTAACCCTTTTCTTTCTTCCCTATCTCTTTTCTCTAACATCTCTGCAGCATTCCCTCACTTTCCCACCTTTGCCTTATGTGCTGAGCAGTTATTCTGTGGAATGGCCAAGGCAGAGGCAGAAGCTGGAGGCATAGAGAACGGATGAAAGGCATCCATGCCAGCTAAATGTTTAAGCACCTGATTCTGAAGCACAAAGATTTTAAATGAACACAGCCGTTTATTTTATAACTGCAAGCAAGGTTAACAATATATTTGAAGAAGTAACACACTGATTTCCAATCATGCTCATTTGTTAACAATCATTTCATGTCTTTTCTCCCAAGAAGAATTTCATAGGTGGTGAGGTGAAAACTGCTAAGACAGACTTTTAATTCACATCTTTGCCTGGAACCATCCTAAAGAACATGAGGAATGTAATTCAGACAGTTATTTACTTACCTGTTAGTGAAAAGTCTTATATTGTCTGAATTGCCAAAACAATCTTTGTCATACTAAAGCTTAATGTTAGCACATAACATTTGTCCAATTAAGTGAAGTGCTCCACAGCCACCTGTATTTCTGTTGGTGTATGTGTCCCTGGGGTACGGTTAGTAGCAGATAATAATTCAGAAATGATTGCCTGAAAAATTTTATTGGACTCACTCAGTTAACTCAGATAAAATACAAAGAAAAAGAAAATCTTCCAACAGACTTGCTGCCTTTCAGTCTCATGCATTTGTTTTCTGCCTAGATATGCCTTGTGCAGTTAATGGGAAGAAGTATAGGTAGAATTCGCTTAATAATTTGTCTAATATCAAAGTTCAGTAAGTTAATTTTTTTCAGGAAGAAAAAGCAGCCTGGCCCTTCAAATAAGGGCTCTTTTAAATATCCAACTTTGACTAGTTTCTCTTTGTGAAAAAACAAGTAACCTGTGTATTCAGCTGGGGGAAAGAGAGCACATTCAAGCTCATATTGAGCACTAATTAGATAAAAAATAAAAATAAGTAAATGAGTTTTTTTGTTAATTAAGATTTCACCTCATTGAGACCATATTGCTTGATGGAGGCACAGAAATGCTAAAAGAAGTTTTCCATATAACCACCTGGATGACATGACAAGCAGATATTAGTAGTAGTGATAGTGGATTACTTAGGCCACTAAAGGTGAAGATGGCAACCACTTGTATAATAGTAGTTTCAAAAGGATCTGTGTCATTTGAATTAGTCCCTTCTTCAAGGGGTGAAGGTTCTGATCTGTTCCCTAAGAGATGTGCCTCTCCAGACTCCTAGAACTCATTTCTTATAAAGATGCCAAGATTTAGGCTATAGAGATTTACATCAGAAATCAACATATTGCTATTCTCTCTTGTTCTCTTTCAATCTCTCTATCTCTGTCTTTCTATGTGTGTCTCTCTCTCCCCATTCTCCGTCTCTTTCTTTCCCTATACTCCTCAGTCCCCATAGAATTACTATTTTTTCTCTCCAAAATGCTGCCTTAAATATAATATTTAGGCAATATTTTAGACTAATTTAGACGAATAATTCTGTCAATAACTAATTGTGTTTACCTTTGTATTTATTTTCTAATCCCTCCCATTCTGCCTACTCACTCCTACATGGATGTGGTGTTAAGTTTAGTAAGAGAGACACCACAGAAAAGAGATGGAGAAAGAGACACTGAAAATCGTTATAGTGCCAAGATATGTATACCCTGCCAAAAAGTCTCAAAAAAGGATTAAAAATTCATGTCATTTGTTGAGATTTATAAGACATTTTTAAGAAGAGAATCTCAAGGCACAATTTACATACAGCTAGAGATTTCCTCTCTGATAATAAATATTTAGTTCCATTTAGAAGTAGGTGGAATTGAAATAGGTGTTTTGTTTCACTGCCCTGAATTTGAAAGTTGAGAAAAGTTATTTTTTTGCATACTGAATATGGAAAACTTTAACTCAGATTCTTAGAATGTAGGATATTTTGTCTATTAACATTAGGAAATTTAAAAATAATAATACCCTGCACATTAGCACTTTGTTAATAAGGATGGTGAAAGGCTTAAGAAAATGAACTCTGAAGTCATGGAATTCTTCTCTGTTTGAATTATCTCTGCCATTTAGTGCAATAAATGATATGAGACATACTAAAGCTCCTCAAGATATGTTTTCACTTGTGATCTGATGCTTAATAATAATAAATGACTCACAGAATTTTTTTGGAGAATTAAATGAGCTAATTTGTAGTGTCTGGTGTCTGGTAAAGTGTAAGAGCTCCATAATTGCTACTGGCTAAGAGAATGTCACCATAAGGCGGGTGAATTGACCTTATAAACACCCTTAGTCATGTCATTTTAGAAGACCTATAAAACTTAAAATCTGCACTAAATATTTTAACACTTCTGTTTGAATCATAGTCAAGTATTTTGTGTATAATTTTTGTCTCCGTGAATACTGGGATTACACGTTTCTTTTTTACACAGTGTAGGTAGGCCATGATGAATATTTGCTGAATTGATGCTAACAAAAAAAAATTGTCACTTATAAAATTGAAAGTGGCTGTTATGCCTCAAATAATTCATATTTGCCTGCCTTAACCTATTACTGCTACAAGTAGTTTCTATCGGTATTAAGTGCATATCAGTATTACGTGAATATAAAATATAAGTTTATACTGCTATAGAATGCTGCTACAATACGATGATGTAATGCAATGAAAGATAAAATTTGTGACTTAGATGCCTGTAGGAGGTCCATGACTTATGAAAAATAATTCAAGTTGTACAGAACACAATCACAGGATTAAGGAAAGCAATTGTCACTTGCCCTGTGTGGTTATAACAAGAGCCAGAATGTGCCAGATGCACAGCTTGTCTGCAGCTGTTGTTATTTGAATCTTTTTTGCAAGATCCATTTTATCCTATAACTGTGTGGGATTTATTAGGTGCTGAGAGTTTATCAGAATTACTGTTGTATAGAGAACACTGGTATAATGGTTCTTAGATTTAAACCAGGCATGGGAAAATATAATCCAGAAA
Organism: Homo sapiens; assembly: GCF_000001405.40. Taxonomy (NCBI): domain Eukaryota; kingdom Metazoa; phylum Chordata; class Mammalia; order Primates; family Hominidae; genus Homo; species Homo sapiens. Next base: position 82,933,994 of record NC_000013.11, on the reverse strand, counting down.
TAATTTTATAATACTGCTTAAGCTAGCACAGATGCCCGTGTTGGATTAAGTTGGATATAAATTTAAAGTACCAATTAGGTCATGTTACGGACATTGCCAATTTGAGCAGGAACCATACGAATTGCTAAAAAGCGACTTGACATAAGCATATGTTTTAAATGCAGTCTTCACCTGTATATTAGCAGATCAACCTTCACCTAACAAATGTGTATTTTCCTGTTTACATTAGATTTTCTGCTTTTAATGGAAGATATTAGCTGAATAATACAATTGAGGAGTATATAAATGCACTATCTACATAACATATTTCAGAACCAGAGGGTGTAAAAGTGACTATAATTTCATGGGTGTATTCCTTGCTTTCATGTTTAAAGATACATCATCTGTGTTGACTAAAAAATTGACTTTAAATTTCTGACTAAAATGATCACTTCCATAGATAAGCAACTCATCTAACTCAACTATTTTGCCCCCTGTCTAGAAAAGTAGCTTGAGAGGATATTATAAGCAATAATTTTTGGTTTCGTCAACTTTGATAGACTTTTTCTCAAACTAAAGCAACTCCAAATGTTTCATTTAGATTAAGTTTACCTCTAAAGATACTTAGCGTCTTCTAAATGTTGTCTTCCTTATTTACTGTTAGGATCCCAGGGTTGTTTCATTGCTATTATTATTACCTGTCACAGATAAATCCAAGAATACTGATTCCTGCTATTTGATTCTTATTGCCAGAATTGCTTAATTTATGAGCATGAACTAATAGTTTACCTTTTCTGTTCTCACAGACTCAGGGATAAAGCCACATTATACCCTCTAATTCATAGACCACCTCCAATAATACTGGCAATTATATATAACGAAAAGCTATGAATCCATTTGTATCTATGTAGCCCCTCTTTTACGGGCTGAGTTAGTATGAGAGGGTGTGGGTGTTGGTAGGAGAACAAGGGAAAGAATCTTGGTGGAAGTATGGATTAAAAAATAATCTTTGTTCTTGAATGCATAAGAGTTTGTGATTTGAGACATGATGGACCACATACATTATATATTTTCAATTCTAATAACTTTCCTAATTCACCCAAGTGAGTTGACTTTTAAAAATCACTCCCCCACTGTATACTGGTCCAACAAAAATCCAGTAGTTCTCTGAATTTCTAAAACTACCTATGACAAACAGATTATTTGAAATCTTCAAAATAGATTTTAATCTATTCTATTAGTCCATTTTCACGCTGCTGATAAAGACATACTAGAGGCACTGGGCAATTTACAAAAGAAAGAGGTTTAATTGGTCTCAGTTCCACATGGCTGGGGAGGCCTCACAATCATGGCAGAAGGCAAGGATGAGCAAGTCACATCTCATGTGGATGGCAGCAGGCAAAGAGAGTTTATGCAGAGAAACTCCAGTTTGTAAAGGCATCAGATCTCATGAGGCCCATTCACCAACAGGAGAACAGCATGGGAAGGAACCGCCCCCAGATTCAATATCTCCTGCCAGGTCCCTCCCACAACACATGAGAATTATGGGCTTTACAAGATGAGATTTGGGTGGGGACACAGAGCCAAACCATATCATCTATAAAATTTGAAAACACAATTTCTGTCATGCATCACATCATATCTGCTTGTCGATACACATGGTTAGCTGAAAGGAATGATACATAGCTTAAGAATCTTTGCTTTCGCCATGCAAGATAACATTAGAGATAAGAGTTTGCTCCATCTCAGTTTTTATTCAAGTTACAAGTGACCTACAGCTTCAGATGTGGTCATATGTCCATCTGTTCTGATTCACTATGCCTAGATGAATTAGGATATGACATATAATTATGATTGGCATGGGTATCTGTGGATAGTAGCACATTTTTCAGTGAAGAGGAAACATTGGGAACTATCTCGATAACTCAAAAAATATATAATAAAAAGAAGAAAGCACTTTTCATTAAAGATCACTAGTATATATTACCTTTATTGTCAGAACATAGAACATATCAAGCACATATATGTGCTTGATAACTGTAGGCTATCTTATAATCAAAGTAATTATACAGTATAAAATCTGGCACCTCTTTTGAGAAGTGTAAACATTGATTATGTCGGTAGTTGGCTGCAGTAACTGATGTCAAAAATGTGGGACCTGAAATTTAGAGACAAGGACAATGGTGCTCCCAAGGAATAAATAATTTTTGCATGTATGTGTGTGTATGTGTAACCCTCTAATCAGTGTGATTCCAAGAAGAGTGAATCTGTTGGTCACATTTATAAATTACTATGTTTTGTTTGAACACAACTATTTTCAATAATGCCTTGTTATATGAAATTCAAATAAAGTATTCCTCCCTGGAATACCACCAAATTTCAAAGTCACTCTCATTAGTTTCCAGACGTATCTTTGATTTATTCACATCCAACTAAAAAGGAAGTAAAAAACAAGGTAATTTAATTTGTGACTATGTTTTTAATTAATTGATTTTTTCTTCATCAATTTTTCTGATAATTTTTAAATAATTCCATAATAATGATTCCTTTCACATTTTGTTAAGGGTCTTGCAGGTTAATATTGCTTTTTATTGTATGTTCTTTGATAGAAAATTTAGATACATTAGGTTGGGCATGGTGGCTCACGCCTGTAATCCCAGCATTGTGGGAGGCCGAGGCGGGTGGATCACAAGGTCAGGAGTTCAAGACCAGCCTGGCCAAAATAGTGAAACCCCATTTATACTAAAAATACAAAAAAATTATTTGGGCATGGTGGGAGGCACCTGTAATTCCAGCTATTCGGGAGGCTGAGACAGGTGAATCACTTGAACCAGGGAGGCGGAGGTTGCAGTGAGCCGAGATGGAGCCACTGCACTCCAGCCTGGGTGACAGTGCGAGACTCCATCTCAAAAAAAAAAAAAAAAAGAAAAGAAACTTTACATACATTATCTCAACAGAAAAAACAAATCCACAGGTCCTTCATGTCATATTTATTTAAGTGACTGTCAGGTTTCCACACTAAGCTTTTTCCAATGTTTTCAGAACCTCCCTTGAAGAATAATAGCATGGTTTTATAAGAGTGGCAATTTGCTTGTATAAATAGCCAATGATTTGGTTATTTTGTAACTCACTTTTTGAACTATAACCCTTTGCCCTAAGACTACAAAACTATTGACCAAGAATTAAGCTAAGGAATCAAGATTAATAAATGATTAATAAATGTTGTCTTTAATTTTGGAACATAGACTGATGGAAACACTCAAAGTGCCTTTTTAATGGGTACAGTGGTCTCTTTTATATCATGAGGATAAAATAATAATGATTAATCCAGTTATTTTCTCAAGAAATATTTTGAGCATCCACTGTTTAGGAATTTTGCTAGATACAAGGAAAGAATAATAACTAAGAGAAAAGTATTTGCTTTGAATAAACATATCTAATATTAATTATATTTCATAGAATTATTAAATATAACAATTGATAATAGTAGTGTTTTTCCTTTCAATTAAATGTAATGTTAGTTTAAAATATATTTACGATGTTTAAACATGCACATCTTTGTTACTTCTGTTGACAACATAGGCAAGGTAATGAAAATAGTATTGTTGATTCATTGGTAAAAAAATTTACAGTATTTTAACCTTTAATTTATTACATTCAGAGTTCAAAAGAATGAGAAATATCAGTGAAACTTTGGTATGAGGCTCAGGCAACAAAATTACTAAATTCATATGTACAATATTTTAAAAATTCTTTACATCTCTTTGGTACAAGCTTAAATTGTGAGAAAGAAGGCATATACACTTTGTCACGTTTTATAATAGCTTTAATACACTGTGAATAAGAAGTAACATATTATGATAAAGTTGTAAGCAGTTTTTTATTTAAATAACTACATAGTTCTTAAAATGACATTGACATTCTCTGTGAATGTAATGTACATAGTAATGTAATCTTAATTTTCCATTTAATTAGAACTTCTTAATTTTGCAAGTAACAAATTTTTAAAATAAGCATTAACTAAACTCTGAAACTAATCAAAATTAGCTATTTAGTAATTGTTTTCATTTTATATGTGTAAAATGTTAATAGCCTTTTAGAACTAGAGTACAAAAGTTTTATAAAACATTTGCTTAAATTAGACCTATTCAGGGCTAAATATTTAATTATACATCAAAGAAATGTTCTGTTTTACAAAGAAATTATACCACCACTAGACGTATTTTAATTAGTTAACATTAATAAAATTTCTAAATATAAAATATCTTTTAAAATATTGATGACAATTTACATGTAAGCTTACTGACCTTATCTTCATCAAGCATTTCTTTTTTTTTTTTTTGAGACGGAGTCTTGCTCTGTTGCCCAGGCTGTAGTGCAGTGGCGTGATCTAGGCTCACTGCAAGCTCCGCCTCCCAGGTTCACGCTAATCTCCTGCCTCAGCCTCCCGAGTAGCTGGGACTACAGGCGCCCGCCACCATGCCGGGCTAATTTTTTGTATTTTTAGTAGAGACGGGGTTTCACCGTGTTAGCCAGGATGTTCTTGATCTCCTGACCTTGTGATCCGCCCGTCTTGGCATCCCAAAGTGCTTGGATTACAGGCGTGAGCCACCGCGCGCAGCAAGTATTTCAAAATATTTGTTCAAATAAATATTTTGGTTCAGAGTGTTTTCATATGTATCAAACACAGAATCATAATGTGTTCATCCAAAAAATATCTTATGCATGATTTGATCCAATCTCTTTATTTAACAGATGAAGAAACTAGCATCCAGAAAGTTCATGAAATATTTACATATAGAAACCAGGCGTTTTTACTTCCTGTCACATGTATCTTTTGTTATACATTTTGCAACTTCGTGAGTTATCAATTGTCATCAAAATAAAATGCTGTAAAGTCTCAATATTAGAAATACTTAGTCATTCTATTACATTTGATTAATGATTTAGGTAACACATAAATATATCATTTAAATATAACATATAATTTTTTTCTCCTGTCTTTACAATTTTCTGTACCTTTATGATGTTTAGTACTTAAAGTTAAAACTACATATTTCTTCTTATATCTTTAACTACTTTAGGATGGTATTTAGAATTCTTGCAGTAGCATTACACAATTGCTCTTAAAGTGGGAAAAGCGGTGACCTACATACCTAGCTTGAAAGATTTGTCTACATGATATCAGCCCGTATTTCCCATTCTCATACAAATAATAGGGTTATAATAGTAATTCTCTCTATATTGTAGTATGTATTTCTCCTAAGGGATGCCTTTTTATGAACAATGAAGATAACAGTAACTTTTCTCATGGAATTATTAAGAAAATTGTATGAAATCATATAAAGAGTAATGCATTACTTATCTTGAGAAGGTAAAAACATTCAGTGTCTCTGTCACTGGACGTAATAGACAAACCAGAGAAGCACGAGGAAATTTGTAAGATTTTGTTGGCCCAAAATGTGGCCAGTGATGAATTCCCCAAATAGATTTCAAACATTTCTCATCTAGGTCACAATACATCCAATGTTTTCGGTCAGTAATAGAATATTGCATCCCAAATTAAAATGCCCTCTACACTCTGAAGCAGCTATCCTGAAATGAAAGGGAATTCTGATAACTTCAGTATAAGTGAAGTATGTTTTCAATGATTTTGAGGAACTTTCTTCTATAGGGTGTTTGGCAACTTATGATCTTCAGCATCCTGAACGTCACCAAAGGACTCTTTCCCATAACAAGCACAATTAAAGTTGAGGTATACCAACTTTTTAAATTTATGTGTCAACATGTACTCCAGTATAAGAAGATACAACAGTACTTTAATATTGATAAAGCATCACTTAATTATTAAAAAGGAAAATAACTTACGCTGAAACAGAATTTTTATACTTAAAGTAAAATGTTGGTATTACTTCTTAATTTTCATTCCTATTTCCCTAATAAAGGTAATAGAGGCCATGCTGCTGCTTTGCTGTGAGTAACATAATTCTATGTCTCTGCCCAGGAAGTCTTTTGTATTTTGCCAGCACCTCTAAAATAAGATGCTGATGGGGAACATTCTCCCAACTTTCCTAAAATCTTAACTTCTTTAGGACCTCTGGAAACCATTAGGTAATAACAATAAAATAAGGTAAAATATCAGACCTTTGTTCTATTTCAGACCTTTTCAAAAGGACCCTCCTTAGGCATGTAACTTATCTAATGAAGATAAGTGGACAGAAATTCTAGAGATTATGCTAACATCATATCTACAGAAACAGATTTATAGAAAGGAAACAAAGAATGAACATAGTATCTTAAGGAATCGTTAATAATTTGATCAGCATCAGATTTCATTGTTTAATGAGATCTTCCAATATGAATGTGATCTATCACAGAGTTGATTAGCAAATGACAAGAAAATAAATGTCAAACTTACTAGTAATGTATACGCAGAAATACTCAATTGGAGATGAAAGGCTCTCTTTTGACATCCTGAGCTCTGAAGACTTCTCATACCCATACCTAGCAGGGAATGAAAAAATCAGCTACATGAATTTAGACATTGTTTTTTATACATTTTTACAAATCTGGTGGCCAAGCTGATAATTATACAATACATAAAATGGTAACATTAGATAGTATATAAATTTCTCCGTAACTTGTATTATCCATTTGCATTCTCCACTGAAGATTTTGGGGAGATAAGAGACATAATTAGGTTTTTCACATTCAATTCTTACTAGCAAAAGTTGGTGGAGGAAGAAAAGAAAAAAAAGTAAGAGAAGTAGAAAGGAGGAATGGTCCACTAGTGGTGAGAATAATTCCAGCTAAGTGCAACTTGAAGACGAGGATAAGGTTTATGTATCCCATATCCCCCTAAGTATTAGACTCTTGCTAGAGCAGAAATTTGGACACCATCTCACACCATGTGTTCAGCTCAAGGTGTCATTTTCTGTTACTGGTTCATACCTCATGTGTGTGCACAACGTGTTATCTATCTTTCCTCTACTTCTTAAGCTAAATAGGAACTACATTTTCAGATTAAAAGTGAAAGAACCAAATTAATGAATTGTCTAACATGGGGTTGAAGATTCTCTAGAGATAAAGATGCTAACTGGAAGTACTCTACCCAGAACTGAGAGTTTCTCTGTGTACACTTTATTAGTAACATTGAAATAGCCTTTCTCACTTGCCAAAAATATCTATGATAGGCCGGGAGCGGCGGCTCATGCCTGTAATCCCAGCACTTTGGGAGGCCGAGAGGGGTGGATCACGAGGTCAGGAGATCGAGACCATCCTGGCTAACATGGTGAAACCCCGTCTCTACTAAAAATACAAAAAAATTAGCCGGGCATGGTGGCGGGCGCCTGTAGTCCCAGCTACTCAGGAGGCTGAGGCAGGAGAATGGCGTGAACCCAGGAGCTTGCAGTGAGCTGAGATCGCGCCACTGTACTCCAGCCTGGACGACAGAGTGAGACTCCGTTTCAAAAAAAAAAAAAAAAAAAATCTATGATAGATAACATCTAGGACTGAACTTTTATTTTATACCAAAATCTGACCAACTCTGATCCTTTGAATGATATATTAAGAGTTTTGATGATGCTCATATGTAATCATTCTGTAAAAGATCTGTTTTACTCATCATACCTCAGATGGAGATTATGTTGTAAATAGAATTTTAACTACTTCAGTGAAAGAAACCAGTAATGAATCAAATGCTAATCATATATTCTATCTCTACTTGCATCCTGATTTAGAAACTTGATGGGCATTTTAGAGTACATTACTTAAATCAGTGTTTCCCAAACATGCCTAGTTGCAGAGTACTAGTGGGAAGCATGGAATCCCGGGTCGCAACTTAGAAGCATTGAATCAGTATCTCCCGGGGAGGAGTCTGAAAAAACTGAGTTGTAAATACGAATCCATACGGGTTTTTTTTTTTTTTTTAGACGGAGTCTCGCTGTGTCACCCAGGCTGGAGTGCGGTGGCTCGATCTCGACTCACCGCAAGCTCCGCCTCCCGGGTTCACGCCATTCTCCTGCCTCAGCCTCCCGAGTAGCTGGGACTACAGGCGCCCGCCACCACGCCCAGCTAATTTTTTTTTGTATTTTTAGTAGAGACGGGGTTTTACTGTGTTAGCCAGGATGGTCTCAGTCTCCTGACCTCGTGATCCACCCACCTCGGCCTCCCAAAGTGTTGGGATTACAGGCGTGAGCCACAGCGCCCGGCCCTGAACCCATATAGTTCTTAAGAACAGACATTTTTGAAAATTAATTGCTTTTCTTTTCTTTTATTCTTTTATTTATTTAGCTTTTCTATTATTTTGCAAGCTGTACAATGTGACATTGTAGTGCTTCAAAGATTGTTACTGAATAACAATATTTCCTCGTGTGCTTTGCTTAAGTTTTAAAAGAGGGTAAATAAGGAAATGAGAACGGCCATAAAAGGAAAAAGAATGACAGATGTGTGGTTTGAATGAGGTATGAGAGACAAAGATAAATGGTAAATGGCAGATTGGACAATAACTGTCCCCAGATTCCCAAGTGAGTAACAAGGACGCTTTTTTTTTTTTTCTAAAAGAAAGTATCAATCTAGGTTATGGATGGCAGCAATAAATATCACTGAGTCGAGAAGGAATCACTAAAGACATCTTTCATTTCTCCTCTTCAGTTGACATAATCCATTAAAAACCAACAACCAGTTGTTCAGCCTTCTCAATAATTTTGGAGTCAAGGTCATATATTTCCAGGGTGTTTAACGTTATGGTTGGCAGGACAACATCAGGAGCCTTTCTAAAGTTGATATAGATTATGTGTATTGTATTGCTTTGATCGCTCATATCTGTCATTCTGTCTTAGGGAAAGGATAGGTTATTTTGACAGTGTTTCTTCTTTTAAATTCTGGCTAAATATGGTCAAGTAACATGTTTCAGGCAATTTGTGGTAAATAATTCACTGCGTATTTCTAAATAGAAAGATGCTGATAAGCTTACAGAATCATGCTTATGAGGCCATCTTTTGTGAAGCTATACTTTTACTTCCTAATCTTAAAAATAGTGGCCATGACTTCCTACCTCTAGCATCTTGAAATAATCATTTTCAGAGTTGTTGCTTTTTGTAAATAAATGTGTTTCAGTCTTGACGTCAACATTTTATTTCATTCATATTTTGAAGAATAAATAGTTTCTTAATTTCACTTGGTTTTAGGTTGTTTATCATACAAAGCAAGGTAAAAGCACAGATTTGTGAAAGACTTCTCATTTAAATTGCATTTTGGTATGAAAAGGGAGAAAAAAAGTTGAACCTGTATTTGGAGGAGAAAGTCTTGTATTTGGAGGAGAATATCATGATAATAGATTATATAGAAAAAGATCCCTCACTGTATGAGAGAATTAAGAATTTTGATAATTTGATAATTGGTAGAGTATTGTAGTAGGGTGTTATTCATCTATCATGTGTCCAGCAGACAGATGATAAAACCAAAGCAGATGGAGAGACAGGATCTGTGAAAAATGCCTGGAGTAGTTTCTAGGTGATAATTAATGAAAGTAATATTTAGAGAAAGAAAAGTAAAGGGTTTAAACTGACAGTGATATTCGTTATGGGCCATAAAAGTTTCTTTGTTTGAAAATTTGCTTTATAGACTATAAACTTTTAGTTTTTTCTTATTTTACAAAGAACAGGTAAAGCTACTCTTTTATGTTTTGACTTCTAAACAGTTGATGCATTTTATAAAAACCATTAGTACTGCAAGTCTTCTTGAATCAAGCCACCTTTATCACCAACCAGGCAGGAACCCCCCAGAGGTAAAGGTACATGTTTGGGAAGAATATTAAAGCATCCCTATGGCTATCTCTGAAACAGAAACTTTATAAGAATTGAAAATACTATGCCTTTCTATTCAGCCTTAAGGTTATTTGTTTCTGTGTTAATGTGTTGTTCATTGATGTTACAATTATCACCTTTGCACTTAATAAAATGCATTCCTGTTTTCAGATAAAACCTATCAATTTTGTCTTTTCTTCAAACTTAGGCAAACCATTTCAGTTTGATCAAATCCTGGGATGTTAGAGGGAGTTAAATTTAATAAAATACAAATAAATGTTAGCAATACTTTTAAAGATAAGCATGCTAAGGCAGTCTTTACCCTGTCACACATATTAAAAATTATGAAAAAGGTAACTAAGTGAAATATTTGAAACTGTTTTCTTGGAGGTGATTTTTTTTGGAGGTGAGTGGGAATGGAATTGCTTTGATTCTGTATAGTAGCAAGGGTGGGGGAAAGACTGGCTTCGGCACTTAGGTATATACTGGCAAATATCCCCTTTTGCTTTCTGTGAGAGAATGAGACCATGTTTCTGCCTTTACTTCAACTTTCAGCTGATGCTCATGATCAACTGCAAGTACATAACTATATAATCACCATGGTCTGGTGAATTTCCCTTGCTAGTAGTGATATTGGACCCTTTGACAGCAATCGTAGGTGGGTTAGCTCAACAAGCTCTTTCAAGATCTTTGAATCATATTCAAAAAAGAGGGAATGGTACCCTTTAACTGGGAAGCTTGGGACACTTTTATGGGCCCCAGAGATACAGGGAAATCTGGAAATTAAAGTTCTTTGTGTATATGGATCATTCAAGAGTACCTGATCCCCAAGTCTCTGTGCTTCACTCCTTCCAAATGAAAATTCTGATCTTGAAAAAGTAGATTTTCTAGGGTTGAAAATTCCACCATCTGAGTAGCTCTATTACCATTATAATTTAATTCTGGCTCTAATTTTCAACTCTTGCTGTCCTCCAGGGTAGGGAATTAGAGTCTTTATATATGCTCCAAATACTAACTGACTCACATTTGGCTTTGTATTTCAGATAGCTCTGCAGAATCTCCATGAAGTATGCGGGACACATAAGTGCTTTTTTTTTTTTTTCCCCTAAAGTAGATGAACTAAATTAAGTAGAGGAGGCAAGTTGGTAATTTGGTTCATTGCGTTTCACCACCAGCCATTGTCCCTCTTTTGTGATAATCTGATATCTCTCATTGCTGCTCTCATGTTTGTATTCTACTGTGAGTTTTGTGATTATCATTTTATTGCACTTTTTAATGTTATTTTTCTGTTATATTGCAACAATAAGAAAATAAAGGGTATATCACAAGTCATGATCAACTGCAAGTACATAACCATAGGATCACCACGGACTGGTGAATTTCCCTTGCTAGTGATGTTGGAACTGTTGACAGCAATCATAGGTAGGTTAGCTCAACATATGCTTTACCAGGTCCCCAGAGATCCTGAATCAATGCCACCTAATTATCAGCTAGAAGTAGAAGTCACTGTTGCTTTTAGGAATTTGTAGCACGAGTTTACCATGAAAGGTCTTAAGGAAATCACTGCTTGTCTCAGAGCTGAGGGTATTTATTCTTTCTTTACTTGGTGATTGACACAACATTGAGGAAGCTTAGTGGCTTGACTGCTCTTCATTATGACCAAATTCTGCAACATGGACCATGTCTTTCCACCTTTCTGCTTGTTCCCATGTAATTCTGAACTAAATTAGATTGCCCCAAGCATGGTTCCACTGCTTAATTTTTAAATTCTCATCCTCATTATATTTCCCAACATCATTCTGTCAAAAGTCTCTTTCCTTTAAAACCGTTACTCATAGAAAGTTTTGGAACACAAAAAACCCCACAAAACAAACAGAAGAACAACAACAAAACACGTTTTCTTCTTAGACTAATTATTTCTAAGCACATAATTGAAATAGGATACATGCAATTATAATTTTTTATAATAAGCTTTAGCCATAGATATTGATTCCTTCTGTCTTTAAAATTGGTTATATTAATAGTTGTGCATATTATCTCTTCATTATTGAGTTCTACCACATTTCAATATTGTGCATACTCTACAGTAAAAATTCTTATGCAATAGACCTTTTGTATTATACTGAATAATTTCCTTAAGGCAAATTCTCTATTGTGTATTAAAATTTGTGACAAGTTTTATAATTTTGATAGGTATTGCAATCCTTTATCTTTTATTTAATAATGTGTCCACATAATAAAAATTACTACAGATATGTTATTATAAAAAAAGCATTGCAGATCTCCAGTATTACTTCTAAGGGACAATAATTTTTTAACATTGTGTTTTAAATATGGTTGTTTCCTCTATTTAACTAATTATTATTATTATTAAGTTTTGAGACAGAGCCTCACTCTATCACCCAGGCTGGAGTGTAGCGGTGCCATCTCGGCTCACTGCAACCGCCACCTTCCAGGTTCAAGAGATTCTCCTGCCTCAGCCTCCTGGGTAGCTGGGACTATAGGCACGTACCACCATGCCTGGCTAATTTTTAGTAGAGACGGGGTTTCACTGTATTAGCTAGGATGGTCTCAATCTCCTAACCTCGTGATTCTCCCACGTTGGCCTCCCAAAGTGCTGGGATTACAGGCATGAACCACTGCTCCCGGCCCTATTTAACTAATAAATATGTTTTTACAGCTAATTGTTCAGTTGGAATTTACTGTTTTATTTAAAAGATGAATTGCTTACTATCAAAGATGATTTTTAATTGACACAATTCCTTTCTATCCCTTTAATAGTAAATTATTTTTCTGATTTTTGTTATTTGAATTTCATTATTTATGTATTTATTTTTTTATGCTTTGAAATGGAGCCTTTCTCTGTCACCTAGGCTGGAGTGCAGTGGTGCATTCTCGGCTCACTGCATCCTCCACCTCCCAGGTTCAAGCGATTCTTCCTGCCTCAGCCTCCAAGTAGCTGGGATTATAGGCATGCACCACTATGCCTGGCTAATTTTTGTATTTTTAGGAGAGACGGGGTTTCTCCAGGTTGACCAGGCTGGTCTCAAACTCCTGACCTCAGGTGATACGCCCGCCTCGTCCTCCCAAAGTGCTGAGATTATAGGCGTGAGCCACCACACCCTGCCTGTTATTTTAATTTTAATAATAGTTTAAATAATAATAAATTCAAATAATAATTTAAATTCTTCTGAATATTAATTTCTGATTGTTCATTTTAAACTGTGCTTCATGGATTCCCAATACATAGAACAAACACATTAGCTATTCTATCCCTCTCTCCATTTATTTATCTTCATTTCCTCTCTCAAATTCTGTCAGATTTAATTATAATTTGACATTTTTGAGCGGGTAATATTTAATTTCAGCTTAGTAACATTAGTAATAGTATCAATTTTATTCACAATTTGCCTACAAACTTATAGTAATAACTAAAAATAATTATAAAATATTTATTTAAATGTAAATCTGTGTATTTTTACTGTAAAGCCATAAAATGTTCTCAAATTACTTGCTTTCTCTGGAGATCAGTGTGATTTGATTCCTATGCTACTCTAAAAAGATTGGGTTCACTTTTTTTAACATGCAACCTCTTATTGAGAAACATGATATAGTGCAGATAATATGTATGTATTCTTTGTAAGTTGTCTGTTTATTTAATGATATTCTGAAATTTAGTTTGCATACATTTTTGCCATTGTTGGGGAAAAATTATATGCCTTTGGCCCTAATTTATTCTACTTTTAACTATTCTATCTAATTAATTTGGTTCATCTCCTTTAGGAAAAAAACCACACTTATGTGAACTGCATACTTAATGGAGATTCTGCAGATCCATCTGAAATATAAAGCTACATGTGAAAGTCTGTATATTTTGGGAACATATATAAAAACTCTAAATCCCTGTTCTGGAGGATGGCAAAAGTTGAAAATTGGAGACAGAATTAAATTATAATGGTAACAGGACTAGTTAGATGGTGGAATTTTCAACCTGGCAAATCTGCTTTTTCAAGACCAGTCTTCATTTGGAAGGAGTAATACACAGAGACTTGGGGATCAGGTACTCCTGAGTGATTCACACACACAAAAAGCTTTAATTTCCGGATTTTCCTGCATCTGCGGGGCCCATAAAAGTATCCCAAGCTTCTCTGTTAAAGTGTAGCATTCCCTCTTTCTTAAATATGATTCAAAGACCTTGCAAGATGGCACCAAATCCATTATCTATACTCACCTTCCTTTCTTCTAACCTGAGCCATAAATAAGATTAGTCACAAAACATCCTACCAAGAAAAGTATTATGCCTATTAAAAGAAGAAAGGAACTATACCCGGAAGATGCTACAAGAGAATTACGGGCCTGGATCTTGACATACTGATCAAGAGGAGTAAAACAGAAGGTTTGATAACAAAGCGTTCATCCATATGTGAGCATACTCCCACAGTACAAGAGTTAGCACCTTGACAAGCAACCCAAGGAAAGGTGTTAATTGCTGTTAGAATAGCTTTTAGAACTTTGGATAATGTGATGGGCTACACTAGGAAATTAGAAATCTAGAATGACTAAGTAGGTGGTGAAAGGAGAAAAAAAAAAGCTCAGAAAATTGAATGTGCTAGAGTAGGTGTACTATATAAGGACTAAAATCAATCAAACAAACAAAAAACACCCGTCCACTATGTTCTGTGGTAGGGCTTGAAAGTCACTTTTTATCAAGGCAATAAAAAATATGATGAGGGTGACCTTGATGCCATTTAAAGTGTCATATGGTGACTGTCTTCTGTAGACTAGAGCTTGTGGTAGGAGATGCTATTACAGACAAAAGATTCTTTACATCAAAGTATCTAATAAGATTCTGCAGTAATGGAGGACAGGGAGCAATGCTTAACCATCTTAAATAAGGTGGATACAATTATAAAATCCGTGACAAAAGTCAGAGTGGCAGCAAATTTGACTTGAACCTCAGAGAGTTATGGGATCGTTAATCAAAGATGATGTTCTTAGGGTCAAGGAAGACTGGAAGCTATCAAGAATGCTCAATCCATGGGAATCAAGAACAATCAAAGCTGAATCTGACAATCTTCGCCAGATTCTGGACTTCAGTCTACATTATTTCCAGGGATCTATTGATTAAAGGAAAAGTTAAGACTCCAAAAGGAACAAACCTGAAACATGCATCAATCTCAAAGTGACCTAGAGTCATTGACTTTGGTAATTGGTGAATATCCAGACATTTTGAGACCTGTTGCACCCCAAATTTAATTATGATCACTGTAGAAGTATGACTATCATGAGAACAGATAATAAATAAATTCCTAGACCAGATCTTATTATTCCCAACTGAGAAATCTATGATTAGAATTACATTCTTGGTAGTTGACAGAACATGTCCCCAGCTCTGCACGCACAAACACACACACACAGAGACACACACACATACACAACATGCACTGTTTCCTTGGAGAGTGAGTTAAGTCTATAATAGTGGGAAAAGTCAACTGGAAGGCTCTGAACTGATTCCCCCATCATGAATGTTATACGATAAAATTGTAAAATAAAAATATTACATCCAAGAGAGATGACAGACATTATTACCTACTTTAATGACCTAAAATATCAACAGTTAGTAGTACCCTAATTTCTCCATGTAATTCATCACTGTAACTTTTCCAAAATTGATACATTGTCTAGATGATGAAAGTAGAGTACCACAGACTCAAGCAAAGGGAAGCTTTAAGTGCAAATGTTGTGCAGCAAGCTATATTTGAGAAAGCACATTAACAGGATCTCTGGTACAATGTGTGCTGTTTGTAATCTGTCAAATGCCTTATTTTCCATCCCTATCAGGAATAAAGATAAGACAATTTAAACATTAAGTGGGACAGCTAACAGTTTACATTTACAGTTCTACTGTAGGGCTACCTATGTTAAATGTCCTGCCTTCAGTCATAATACACAGTCATGCTTCACTTAATTGCGGGATAGTTCTAAGAAATGTGTTTCTAAGCATTACCATCATTGTGCAATATTCATAGAGTGTACTTAGGCTAACCTAGATGGTATTGCCTACTATACACCTAGGCTATATGGTATAGCCTATTGCTCCTAGGCTACAGACCTGTGCAATATGTTACTGTACTAAATACTATAGGCTACTGTAACACAACAATAAATATTTGTATATCTACACATAGAAAAGGTAAAGTAAAAATATTATGTAAAAGACGAAAAATGCTACACCTGTATAGGGCACTTACCATGAATGGAGCTTGCAGTACTGGAATATTCTCTGGGTAAATCACTGAGCAACTGAATGGTGAGTGAATGTGAAGGCTTAGGACATTACTGAACCCTACTGTAGACTTTCAAAACGCGTACACTTAGGCTAAATTAAGTTGATGAAAAAAATTTGCTTTACCAATACATTAACTTTAGATTACTATAACTTTTAACCTTATAAACTAAGTCATTTTTTAACTTCTTGACTCTTTAAAAAAACACATCTTAAAGCACAAACACATTGTACAGCTGTACAAAAATATTTTCCTTCTTTGTATTCTTGTTTTATATGTTTTTTCTTTTTATTAACTTTTAAAATATTTTGTTAAAACCTAAGACACAAGTGCACACACACATTAGCCTAGGTCAACATAGGGCAGTATCGTCAATATCACTATCTTCCATCTTTACGTTGTGTCCTACTGGAAGGTCTTCAGGGGAAATAACATACATGGAGCTGTCATCACCTATGCTAACAAAGCTTTCTTCTGGAGTACCTCCTGAAGGACCTGCCTACAACCGTATCAGAATTAACTTTTTTGTGTAAGTTGAAAATAGTAATTTAAAAGTATGGTAAAATAAATATATAAACCAGTACCATAGTTGTTTATTATCATTATCAAATATTATTTGCTGTACATAAATGTATGTGCTGTACTTTTATATGACTGGAAGCACAGTAGGTTTATTTACACCAGCATTTCCACAGATACATGAATAATGCATTGCACTACAGTGTTACAATAGCTCTGATGTCACCTCGTGATAAAAATTTATCAGCTGCATTATAATATTATGGGATCAATGTAGTATATGTGTTGCATTGATTGGAAAACTATTTTGCAGTGCATGACTGCAGTTTGAAGGGACATATACCCATAATATGTATATTCCATAAAGTATCATCTTAACATGAATGACATTTTGTTAACTTGATTAGATGAGCAATAATTGGCAAATACATTGGAGAGCTTGTTAAAATGTGTGTTCTTCAGAGCCTGGGAGATAAATATGAATCTGTGAAGATTCAGGAGCTCACCACCTGTAATGAAGAGTCTGTCTCCATTTGTTAATGTTTGGCTGCTGATAGATTTTAATTTTCATACCTTTCCCTTCCCTATGCTGCATATCTGAACAAGTTGATAAGAAAACCTTAATGCTCTCTCCTTCGGTGCCAGTGAGTATTAAAACCACGTTCAGGGGATTGTCACTGGAACCTTACTCTGTAATCACCATAAAATCTTTAAGCAAGTCTCCTTGGATTCTCAAGATCTTCAGACCTGCCTAGGAGCCACCCTGCTTTCCTTGGAAAGTCACATAATGTAAATATTAAACTTTTTTGTATCTCAGATTATGTGTATATATGGCATCATCAATATGGTCAGATGTCTAAACTAAATTTAGGGTAGGAGTCCATTGTCCACAGAATAATCACACAACACCGCATCAGTAAAGTTTTGGTAGTTTCATGTTAGAAACGCATGGAGACTTTTTAAAGCACAGGTGTGGTAACAACTTGATGATGAAAACCTTCAAGGGTGAGCTACCATTTACC
The DNA here is from genome assembly GCF_000001405.40 of Homo sapiens. Lineage (NCBI taxonomy): Eukaryota > Metazoa > Chordata > Mammalia > Primates > Hominidae > Homo > Homo sapiens. The sequence goes on along the minus strand of NC_000013.11, from coordinate 82,916,381 downwards.
GATGCATTATGTAGTGGTACATATTTCCATTATCAACAAAATGCAAGTCCAAAAAATAAAGGGTGGAAATAAAAATATCCCAGTTTAGCATCTTTCCCAAGGACTAATCTGTCCACTCACCTCTAATTGCAACAGATCTAGTGGTAGAAAGCTCCTGCTAGAAGGCATAGCAAGACTCTCATTCAACCTTTTTTTCTTTATGTTTTCAACTGACAAGTAATAATCTCACATATTTATGGAGTACTATGTATTATTTTGATACATGTGCACTTTGTGTATAATCAAATCAGGGTAATCAGCATATTGATCACCTCCAACATTCATCATTTCCTTGTGGCAAGAAAATACAAAATTCTCTCTGCTGCCTATTTTGAGATGTACACTACCTTATTGTTGACTACAGTCACCTTATTGTTCAATGAGACAACAGAACTTATTCTTTCTTTCTAACTTTGTAACTGTTGACCATTCTGTCCCCAGGCCCCACTTCTCCCTGCACTCCTTAATCTCTGATAACCATTGTTTCATTCACTACTTCCACAAGATCAACTTTTTTAGATTCTGCATATGAGTGAGAATATTTGATATTTTTCTTTCTGTGTCTGACTTATTTCACTTAACATAATGTTCTGTAGGTTTATCCATGTTGTTGCAAATAATAGAATATGATTTTTTAAAATAATATTCCATTGTGTATATATCCCACATTTTCTTTGTCCATTCATCTGTTGTTGGACACTTAGGATGATTCCATATCTTGGCTATTGTGAATAGTGTTGCAGTAAACATAGGAGTACAGATATCTCTTTGACATACGAATTTCATTTCACCTGGATATATACTATAGAGGGATTGCCATTATATATGGTAATTTTCAAAAGTTTTTTGAGGAACCTCCGTACTATTCTCCATAATGGCTGTTCTAATTTACATTCCCACCAATAGTGTGTAAAAGTTCAAGTTTTCCCACACCCTAACCAACATTTTTTTTGGTCTTTTTGATAATAGCAATTCTAACTGGAATGAAGTGATATCTCATCGTGGTTTTGATTTGCAATTCCTTGATGATTGGTGATGTTGAGCATTTTTTTCATATAGCTCTTGGTCATTTGTATGTCTCCTTTTGAAAAATGCTTATTAAGGCCTTTTGACCATTCTAATTTAGATTTTTTTTTTGTATTGAGTTGTTTTCGCTTCTGGATGTTAACACTTTGTCAGGTGTATTGTTTGCAAATATTTTCTCTCATTCTATAGGTTGTCTCTTCACTATGTTGATATTTCTTTTGCTGTGCAGAAGATTTTTAGTTTGAGGTAATCTCATTTGTCTATTTTTGCTTTTGTTGCCTATGCTTTTGAGGTCTTATCCAAAAAAATCTTTGCCTAGTCCAATGTTGTGAATCATTTACCCTATGTTTTCTTCTAGAAGTTTTATAATTTCAGGTCTTACATTTAAGTCTTTAATCCATTCTGAGTTGATCTTTGTATATGGTGAAAGATAAGGGTCTAGTTTCATTATTTTGCATTTCAATATCCAATTTTCCCAACACCATTTACTAAAGAGACTGTCCTTTTCTCAATGTGTGTTTCCTGAACCTTGGTCAAAAATCCGTGGGCTGTAAGTGGGTGAATTTATTTCTTGACTTTCTATTCTGTTTAATTGGTCCATGTGTCTGTTTTTATGATAATATCATGCCATTTCGTTACTACAGCTTTGTCATGTATTTTGAAGTCAGGTAGTGTAATGGTTCCAGCTTTTTTTTTTAAGATTGTGTTGGTTATTTGGGTCATTTGTGGTTTCATATAAATTTTTGGATTTTTTTCTCTTTCTGTAAAGAATGTTATTACTGTTTTGATAGGGATTGCATTGAATCTGTAGATCACTTTGAGTAGTTTACCCATTTTAGTAACATTAATTCTTCCAGGTAATGAACATGAGATATCTTTCCACTTATTTGTGCTCTCCTCAATTTTTTTTTCATCAGTGTTTTACAGTTTCAGTGCAGAGAACTTTTACCTACTGGGTTATATTTATTTCCAGGTATCCTATTTTTTTTTGGAGCTATTCTAAATGGGATGGTTTTATTGATTTCTTTTTCAGACAGTTTACTATTAGCATATAGAAAACCTATTGACTTTCATATGTTAATGTTTTATTCTGCCACTTTATTAAATTCATTTATTATTTCTAATAGTTTTTTGGTAGTCTTTAGGGTTTTCTAAATACAAAATTATTTCATCTGCAAACAGGGACAATTTGACTTCCCCCTTTCGTATTTAGGTGCCTTTTATTTCTTTCTCTTGCATGATTACTCTGGCTGAGACTGACATCCAGTACTGTGAAGGATAGAATTGGTGAAAGTAGCATCCTTGTCTTGTTTCTGATTTTAGAGAAAAGATTTCAATTTTTTTTCATTTGGTATCATGTTAACTGTTGAAATGTCTTATATGGCTTTTGTTGTGTTGAGGTATGCACATTTCATGTTTAATTTCTTCAGAGTTTTTGTCGTGAAAGAATATTTGAAGTTTGTCAAATGCTTTTTCTGCATTGCAGAGACAATCATATAGTTTTTGTCCTTTCTGTGAATTTGCTATGTTATATTTACTAATTTCCATGTGTTATACCATCATTGCATCCCTGGGATGAATCGCTCTTGGTAATAGGGAGTGGTTTTTTTTTTGTTTTTGTTTTTTTTTTGGAGGCAAGAAAATTAGTCACCAACCTGCCAGGAGTTTTACATACTTCACATTAGGAAGTTTGTAGCTTTTTTGTTGTTGTTTATTTATTTATTATTATTATTATTTGAGACGGAGTCTCGCTCTGTCGCCCAGGCTGGAGTGCAGTGGTGCTATCTCGGCTCACTGAAAGCTCCGCCTTCCAGGTTCACGCCATTCTCCTGCCTCAGCCTCCCGAGTAGCTGGAACTACAGGCACCCGCCACCGCACCCAGCTAATTTTTTGTATTTTTAGTAGAGATGGGGTTTCACCGTGGTCTTGATCTCCTGACCTCGTGATCTGCCCGCCTAGGCCTCCCAAAGTGCTGAGATTACAGGCGTGAGCCACCGCGCCCGGCTTGTTGTTTATTTCAAACCTGGGGGAGTTAAGAATATATTTGTCATGTTGGCAATCCTTTAGTACATCTCTTGAAATAATCTTGCCTAATTTTGATGGAAAAAATATAAATGTGTGATTTATGTCCTATGAAGTGCATGGTGACCAGAGAAACAGACAAATCAGTGATTAGTGGCAGAGTCACCCCACCTGATAAGCTGCCAAAGCCTATAAAAGTGCTACTTATTAAAAGAGGTAATCTAGACCTTATAGTATAAGGATGAAAACTTGAGCTTAGTTTTGACCCCATAGCCAAATTCTGAGGCAGGGATTGTATCTTCTCTTACTAATATATTTTAGTATTTCCTAAGAAGGGAGACCTGCCAGAATGCTGGAGAAAATTTTCGTAAGTTATAAACTTATGAAATAAGTAAACTTTCATATACATTTACATTAAATTAGTGTATCTGAGCAGGATGAGGAGTATAGTATAGTACAGATTATAGTTTGCTTCACTGATTTTCCTCTTCAAGACTGAGCCACCTCAGATGGAAAACTGCTGATGGTGCAATGCTGATTGTCTCCCCTCAAATCGTCTCCAGAATAAAGGTGTTATACCATCCAAACTTCAGCTACACTCTGTGATGAATGTTGTGGATGTTTGAGTAGAAAGGCCTGACCCCCCTTTTTTTCTTTTTTTAATTATATTTTAAGTTCCAGGATTCATATGCAGAACGTGCAGGTTTGTTACATACATGTGCATGTGCCATGGTGGTTTGCTGCACCTATCAACCCATCATCTAGGTTTTAAGCCCTGCATGCATTAGGTATTTCTCCTAATGCTCTCTTTCCCCTTGCCCCCCAACCCTGTGACAGGCCCCAGTGTGTGATGTTCCCCTCCCTGTGTCCATGTGTTCTCATTGTTCAGCTCCCACTTATGAGTGAGAATGTGCAGTATTTGGTTTTGTCTTCTTATAAACCCCTTGTTTTTATTTGCAACATCTTTGAAGGGAGATTTCCGCTTTAGAACACCGTACGGGATCCTCGGACCACTCTCTTGTATCTGCATTAAAGTTCAGCCTTTTCTATTGCATATTCATGCCTCTCACTTTTATTGAGGTATGGTTGAAATATTGTTGAGGTATTCTAAGAAAACTGTCCAATTGATATCGTGACTTCAAATTCTCATCTCAATGTCTATTTTCAGGAAACTTAACATGAGACACCAGTCTTAGCCACGTCCATACAACACAACCCGGTATAAAGACTCTGAGGATAGTGTCATGAAACTTGCGCATAGTATGTGGGTTGTAAACATATAAAAACATACTTGTCATTTCAGCATGATCAGTTAGAAGAGGCACCAAGACTGCTCTACCCATGTATTTCTCCATTATTCAATAACTTCTTATATTATTTACCCATCCAGCTGCATTTGTTGATAAACTGTAATATGATAATAGCATGCTACAATATAAGCTAGAACAAGATTCAAGGTTAAAGAATTGCTCAGCTTAAAGTCTCTAGTTGTTTCCCTTATTATCATAAATCTATTTCAGAAAAGAATTGAAGTTCTCATGCATATTCTATTTTTACTACTGTTTAGTGATTCTATTGCTACTTCAAGGTATCCTTAAATTTGTGAATAAACAGGTTAAAAATGTCTGCAAATTTACATTGCACAATCTGTGGTATAGAATTCTCTTACTTTTACTCTGTAAAACCAAGTAAGTCATCTATTTTGTTCATTGCTTTATCAATAGTAGTAGAGTACTGCACAGCTCACAGGTATTCTTCACAGTAAATGAAGAGACACTCAGTAAGAAAATACCACTATCCTGAACTGATATAAATTTCTACTTAGGTAAATAATATAGCACATTGGAATGATGATATTCAATAGCATAAACAAAGGGTTTATGCTCAATTAATTGAGTCTACATTTTAAAGTTTTTGTCAAGACTTTACATTGGAATGGTTAGAATTTTACTTTTAAGTATTAAGCTTGATGTAAATAAATAGTTAAAAAGATCAGCCATAATATTTTAGGAAACATTTCGGAAAATGGAGCCAGAAAAATTTGAGCTGTTTCTCATAAATAAAAATATGTCTTTATTTGTGCGTGTTTAATTACCATTATTCCATATATATTACAACAAAAGAGAAAGTAATTTTCCTAATAGCTAAGGTATACATGTTACATTAGTTTGTATTAAGGAGGAGCATACTATCAATGATTTAAAGATACACACACCACTACCAATTTTGTAGATATTATAGAATGATATTTTCTATAAAATTAAACTTTATCATTCTTGTTAGATTAGAATACATATTGTCATATCATTTTTTTATTGTTAAAAATAACATGATTCTAAAACCATACAAATGATCTGAAATCCATTGAGTTTACTCAGAAGCATTACTGCTACTTACATGAAAAGTTTTCTTAAATTAAAATTCCCACAGCCAAAAAGTCATTTAAATGAGCTAAAGCATGTCTTAATAACTCACAAATCCACAAACAAAAGAACAATAACTTAAATAAATCAAGTTACTACAGCTCTTTAAATATTTAAAACCCATTAGAATTGAGTTGTTTCATTTAATTTTATATTTCCTGCCCTTTTAATTGACGATTAAAGAAACATTACAATAAGATAATTGAAAGGATAATAGGATAATTTTGCAGAATGGCTTAATAGAAGAAGTCTCAAGATAGGTATATTTTGAGGGGTCAACACTGGCTTGATTTAGAGTCTGTGATATCCAGATGGTTAACCTATTTAGCTATTTGCAACTAAATCAGCTGAAACAAAATTTTACTTGCATTACTAAAACTCAGTGACACCAAATACATGTATTAAGTCTAGTTTGTCAGCTGAGAGTAGAATATGTATCTAATGCAACATCTGGGAGCTGGCAAATGCACAAAGTGCTCCCCTCTGGCATATGCATGACTGATAAGTAAATATACAGCCTGAGTACAATTTATTAATATAGAGTCAGATTATAATACGTAGATGTGTGTAAAAATATGAAATTTCATCAAATTATCTCAGCCTAATAAGTTTCTCTACATTTAAAGTTATATTTCAGTGTGAAAAACCAGAAACCTCTATTGGGAAATAAAATATCTTTTTCTATGATTTTATGCCATACAAATTGCATAGAAATTGAGATGTGTTTCAACAGCTTTATAACATATTGTCAGTATGTATTAACTGCCTAGTTAAGAAAGTGAATTTTAAAATCAAATACAAATACCCTCTTATTAGTAAAGACAGCATATCCTGCATTAAATTAAAAAAATTGCATATTAAGAAATTCTAGTTTTATTAGGATTATTGATTTTTTTCCAGGGAGTTATAGTGCTTAAATTAATTTCAATATTATAGTTTGTACTAATATTATTTTTGACGCTCATTCAAAGTAGGGAAATTTTAAAAGTTGTCTAGTTTTTAGTTTTTAATTTCTATAAGTTTTTCTTTTATATATGAAAGTCTTAAGGTCTAAGAAGTTATTCAACTTCTCACAATGCAAATTAGTATGGAGAAAGTGGAGATGGGTTTGGCACAAGTAACTATGGCTCTCGGAAGTGTCTATTTTTCAGATAGATTTTCTTGCCATTATACCAAACAATGGTGACGAGCAAGGCATCAATACATGCAATAATTAAAATCACAGCCTTCTAGTTAATTATTAAAGTGTGGTGTTTTCTCTGTGAAACTCTAGGTTTAAAAAATATTTTCATTAATCTGTTCATCATTTTCCTGTGAATATTTCCTTTTATTAATCACTCAATTTTGTATTATGCAATAGAATATGTAAATATAAAATCACAAAATCAGAGAATTTGCAGATTTACCTTACTCTTTTTTTTTTTTTAAACATTTTAGTCCTGACTTCTTCATTTACTAAACAGGAAATGCACAAATCACTACACCATTTTGTAGCAAGTTCTGTGGTTTGGCTTGCTCAGTATTCTTTTTAGTATCTTTCTGGTATGCTTTTCTTTTCACCAGTACTGAGAAGCAAAACACTATATGTATGAGACTCCTTAGCCCCAAAGTTGTAGGTATAGTTGAGTTCTGCAAATCAAGCACAAAACAGGAGATTTGAATTTTCTATTGCGTTAGCCCAATGGCAACTGATTCCTGAGCCCACAACCAGAATAGAGGTGTCTATATTTGATAGGCACTTTCTTGTCTGTAACATAGCAGTGCCTTCCTTCACAGTCCAGTTCTGTGAAATGAATTTAGGTGTCACAGTTTGTTATGGGTAGCCTTGTTTCCCTCTCAAAATGTATATGTTGAAGTCCTAACTTCCAATACCTCAGAATGTGACCCTGTTTGGAGCTTTTTACTTAATGATTCTTGTAAAACCTCTATCTCCATAACAAGTTGTGACACCTAAATTCATTTCACAGAACTGGAATGTGAAGGAAGTCACTTTATAATCTGATGCCAAGTGACAATGATGATGATCATGAGGAGGAGGGTACCTAAGTGCATTAACGAGTCTTATGTAAACTATAGACCAAAACTATATAAAGTTCTCCTAGTATATTGGCTTTCATCCCCAAATGATTAAGGGGTCTTGATCTTCCTAATTGTCTGCACTGAGCCAGCATAATGAAGAAATAAACTATGAGCCAGTCACACCTAATTCATTCAGAAACCTTTACCTGCTCAAATGCTTTCAGTGAGAAAGAGCCAATAATAGATGGAAAGTGGATGATCAAAATGTATTTTCATACATTTAGTAAAGTAAGGGAACCAATCTGTTGCTCCAGATTTACTGAAACAAATTAAAACAAACAAACAAACAAACAAAAATGGTGCATGATATGTAGCTACTAAATTGAACTTGTTAGCAAAGACCACTGAAAGCAGTTTAACTGGCAGGGCCAAGTATAAATCTCACTGTCCTATTTCAGGCTTATATTTACTGTCTAGTCCTCATTCATAGAATATTCTGTAGGAGTTTGATATCCTCTCAATCACACAGAGCATGGTGCTAGTCCATGAAATTCATCTTATGCTAACTGGAGTGGGTGTACAAGAAGTAGAAAGCTATTCTGCTTATTTGTAATGAGACAGAATAGGGATGGGACTAGGCCTCTATTCCCCACTGGAGAGCTTTACTACAAGCTGGTGGGTGGAGGTGGACCTGTGGCCAGCAAAGACCCCAGCCAGACCATCCAGACCTTGCACCATGAATCTTACTCAAAGTGCCATACCCACTGATTTCAGGACCTTGGAAACTAAAATAAGCAACATCCCAACATAAATATAACTCAGAGGAGTTAACCCTTTTGCCCCTGTTTGCACAAATCCAGAAGAATGGCTTATCTTTAATCCCAGCCTCATTATGAGAGTAAAATCTTTCCCAGAGAGGGGCTTATCTGCCATTTTCTGACCATGCAGTGTAAGTGCTAGCATGATTTCTCTACCTGTGCACTCTGCACTCCACTCAGCACATATAATAATGCTCATCTGCTTCATGAATTATGTATGTTGCCCTCCTTAGGACACTGCAATACACTCCCCTCTGGAGTGCATAAGCTGCAGAATGTTTTTTTGGTTGTTGTTGTCTTGTTTTTGTTTGTTTGTTTGTTTTCCTGTGCTATCTCTTTAATGTTCAGCCTTTCTGGGTATAAGTCTTAATAAACCTCTCTGGAAAATTTTGCCTTATTTCAAGTTAACTTTTGTTACATTGAGAGACAAGAACCTCTCATCAGTAACAGTAAGACACATACGTGTCATAAAGTGGAAAATAAATCTCAAAAAATGTAGGAGCTTCCTACCCCCATGCAAATTCCATGTATGAGGAGTCTGTGGCATATTAAAACATTGCATCAGAAGAGGACAAATTCACACTGCTGTGTCTGGCACTACCCACCACTAAGACAGAGGAAAACTATCCAGTAAACACTTTTGTTTTTGAAGGTCCATACGTACCTCACTGAAAGGCTTCCAGTTTTGAGTGGAATGCGAGAGCAAGAGAACAATATGCATTATGTCTGTGATGTCATATACGCTTTTCTGACAATTGGACCAGATGACTGAGGAGACACAATAGTGCTTGAGATGTAAGAGTCAGATAAGTTTTATATATGGAGCCTTTAGCAGGTCACTGTGGGTGAATCCAGTATAGACCTTTCGGGTTTTGAAGTAAACATATGCCATCCTTAGCCAATACAAGATAGCTCTTTCAAAAACATCTTTTGAGCCATAATAGAAACATAATATGAGACCATGGGCCACAATATGTCCTAGGAGTTTTTCTAATATTCTACACCTTCAGGTTGGATATATAGAGCACTAGTCTATCAACAAGTGAAAATGATACACACATACTAAATATGGCTTACAAATGTTCTGAAGGGATAAGTAATTTGCATAAACAAGTGGTTAAGAATGCATGTTTCCTGCTTCTCACTCCACACTGGTAACCTCTTGAGGAGATTATGACAACCAGAGGAATAAAATAATTCGATGCTGTTTTAAATATAAATATAGTTCTACATAATTTACGAACAACAGAAAATGGACAGCTGTTACATTTCATCCCCCACTCATGGGAAACCTTATGTACAGGAGTGAGTGGAAATCACCTCAGTGGCTGAAGACCTGCCTGTTATTTGGCCTGAAAAACAGAAGACTGAGATATGGATCTACACTGATTTAGAGACAATGGCTAATGATTTGGATGGTTGGCCAAGACCTTAGAAAAATTTGATTAGAAAAGTGCTGGCAAGGAGGCTGTGGAAAGAATTGTGTGGATTAACATCTTTGAATGGCCTCAAAGAGTTACATACTTGTTTACCCTGAAAATGCTTACTAAAGAGCATCTTCAGAAGAAAAATATTTTAATAATCAGTTGGGCAAGATAATCCTTTGTGTGGATATCAGCCAGCCTCTCTCTCCAATAATCCCTGTTTTTCTCAGTAAAAGTGTGGCTATGGAAACAAGGATATGGCTATAAAAGTTAGTCTAACTATCAGAAACATCTAGGCTGAAACATACAGGGTGATTTTAGCTGTTGCTTTTTCCCCAGCCTGCCTATAGTAAAGTCAAAGAGCCCTTGATATAGCACTGTACATCAATAGCACAGAGCCTGTTATATAGAAACAGATTAAATATATTTGAAAACTTCCATTATCAATAGAGCCATGCCTTATTCTGTCTGGAATGGATGCTTAATCTGCATCTGCTTACATTTCCTGCATGAAATACTTCTAATATCACCACCTGTGACCTTAAGTGTATTCACCATCATGTTCTACCACATAACACTTCTTCTGACCAGGAAAATAATTTTAAATTAATGAAGAGTGGAATTTGGCTTATTCTTATGGATTTTGCAGTTGAACCATATGCCCTATCATTCTGAAATAGCTACCCTGATAGAATATTAAAATGGTCTTTTAAATGGTAAATTACACTGCAGACTAAGTGGCACCTTGTAGTGTTGGGATCTCCAGGAGGCAAAATATGTTCTGAATTAGTGACTAGTATAAAGTGTTGTTTCTCCCACATTGTGCCAAGATAACAATATTTGGATTGTGCTGAAATGTACTGTGTCTCTCTGTTTGCAGCTAGATGTGTTTGGATTATTGGCTTCCTTGCAAAGTTTTACTTTCAACTTGATGAAACATTAGACAGATTTTATCCATATTATCAGCCTCTGAACTCCCTGTTCTTATAGCACTATTTAGAAACTGTATAATTGCAAATTCTCTGTCGCTTAGAGTTGTAAATCTTTATAAAAATTCTCCTGCCAGTCTTACAATCCAAAAGATGTTTTTCTCAAAGACCAGGGACATCCTTTTCAAGGGTAATTATCAAGGAATATAATAATGCCTCTATTTCCCAGTCTCTGTGGGAAGTTAGTAGCCCAACTTGATGGGTGCCAATTAGAAAATGAAATGACCTAATCATATTTGCAAATTCAGGAATCACTCAATGTGTGTATTAGTCTGTTCTCATGCTGCCAATAAAGATATACCAGAGATTGGGTAATTTATAAACAAGACTTTTAATTGACTCACAGTTCCACATGTCTGGGCAAAGGCCTAACAATTATGGTGGAAGGTGAATGAGGAGAAAAGTCACATCTTATATGGTGGCAAGCAAGAGGGCGTGTGCAGGGGAACTCCCCTTTATAAAACCATCAGATCTCATGAGATTTACTCACTATCATAAGAACGCACTTCCAGGATTTAATTACCTCCCACCAGTCCCTCCCAAACACATGGGAATTATTACAATTAGAGGTGAGATTTGGGAGGGAACACAGAACCAAGCCATATCAATGTACTTGACATATCCTGTGGATCAACCTTCCCCCAACATCCTCTAGTACTTTTCCAGTACCTCACCCCAGTACTAATAAACTTTTTTGCCTTTGTTTCAGTGGAGCTGAGTTCAGAATGAGTTACAGTCTTTTGTCCATGCTACAATAGGCTTGAATAAATCTTCCTTTCCTGTTTAATTTTTTCAGGTATAATTTTTGCTTTTATACCACAAATTGAGCTGACATAGTAGAACTAATCCCATAAGCAGGGGATGGACATCCCACACAAGAACCTTTGTCATGCATTGTTCATGCTCAGTGCAGTGGTCATCAATTTTACCACCTGTAGCCCCCACAGCATTGCAGTCATCAAGAATAGTGGTGAAAGTTCTGAGTTGAGTAAATGAAACATCTCAACATGAGGGCAGCACATTTTCCAGAAACCCATCACCGTGGCATAGAGTGATAGCTATCCCTGCAAACTTGGAGAGAATGAAGGGATGGGAAAAAAATGGAAATAAGAACAAAATTGAAAGACTAAATATCTACTTAAAATGCTAAGCTTACTTAAAGGTAAAGTAACAGTTACTCTTGGGTTTCTTGGGCTAGCCTCTGTTTATATATAATTTATTGTAATTGTAAATATTGCACACTTTCATCTCAAAAATATCTCAGTTTGGAAAATAAAGTATATGATTATACAACAAAAAGTGACCGTTTAAATGAAAACAGCATGTTAACCTGATTTAATAATGGCATGCTCTCCTGAGTGCATACTCTGTTATTACTTTGGGGATAAGGGAATTAAGGAAAGTGTATTAGCCAAGGTTCTCCAGAGAAATGGAACTAATAGAAATGTGTGTGTGTGTGTGTTGTGAAAACTCCAGCAAGAATTAATGTTGCGGTCTTGAATCTGAACTCACTCTGGAAGCAGAATTAGTTATATTTTAGGCAACCTCAAGCTTTTCTCCTAATTAAGGCCTTCAACTGATTGAATGAGACCCACCCATTTATAGAGGGTATTCTGCTTTCCTCAAAGCCTACTGATTTAAAGGTTAATCACACCTAAAAAACACCTTCATGGCAACATCTAAACTGGTATTTGATCACCAATTGGGCACCATAGCCCAGGTGAGTTGACACATGAATTAACTATTACATCAAGTAAAGGTCACATAAAATGTCATGAAAGTTTTATTTCTTCTGTGTATGAATCATAGTATGTAAATTGGACCTTATCAGCAAGAATAATTATAATATTAGCTAACATTTTTAGTGCAAACATTTTATATAGATTATAATTTATCTTTATATACACTAAGTGAAGTAGTTACTATCTTTATGCCAAGTTTAGAGAAAAGAACATGAGTCTTTGACATACACATAGATGTGCAAGTTGCTCAAGTTAATTTACCTCATAGATGTGCAGTAGGGCTTTAACCCTGTGTTGTTCAATGTAATAGTCAGTAACCACATGTGAATATTTAACACATGCAATATAGCTAGTACAAGTATTAATGGTTAAAAGAATATACATTTTAATAATGTATTTTATTTGCCCCAATACATTCAAAATGTTATTTCAACATATAATCAATATATGATTAATGAGATATTTTACTACTTTTTCATGCCAACTCTTCTAAATCCAGGGTGGATTTAGAATGAGAAGAAAGAGGATATCCCATTATTAATTTTATATTGATTATATTCTGTTTTTCCTACTAATTTTTAAATGTGGCTTCCAGAAAACTTAAGCTTACTTTTGTGGCTTTCATTATATTTTTGGAGGAAAACACTATTCTGAGTACTTAATCTTCCTCTGGGGAATTTCCCTCTTACAATGATGTCTAATTTGCAAGGTGTGGCTCATTATCACTCCAGAATAATTAGCATGTAATATTGAATTAGAGTACTTTATTATCACCTAAAGTAAGACAAGGCTATCATCTTTCCACTACAGAATGGAGTAAAGGTGTTCTTCGTTCTGGCCTAGATGGAAACAGAAATTGAGACACATAATTCGTTTTAGTTTTATCTGTTAAAAGGCTGTTATCTGGTATAAAAATTTATTTGATTCATCATGACATGTTCATTGAACATTATGGTATTTTGTTTATAAATTGAGACATACTGATTAAATCTTTATTAGATATTGCCTAACTACAACAGTGAGTTTAATTAGGTGCATGGGTCAATAATTGCCTTGAAAACTAGTTTAAAAAAAATCTAGAAACTTCTAAAAACTAGAATCTTTTTAAAAATCCAGAAATTTTTATTTTAATAAAAACAATCACCATACTTGAACTTCAGGTATTTTTAAACTTGGAATGTCCAAGAGAATTTTGAATACCATAGATTACTATGTGCAACTCAACCTCTAAAATTCTGAATCAGAATTTTTGTACTTTCAATAATTATTAATTTCATGGTAAACCTCTGATAATACCTGTGTGATGGGAAGATTTGCAGCTCACTGAGCCTGGAGAAAAAGGCTAATAAAAATAACAGCAAAAAAAACTGTAAGATTTTACTAGGTAAAAGTCAAAATTATTTATTCATTGGATTGAAGCAACTGACAATATTAGGAAAGCTAAATGTAAAAGTTATGAGTTTCTAAACATAAATGCACAGACTTTTATAATTCTGTTGAACTATATTTTTACTGACATTTTCAATAGATAACTGACACCAAATTAAGAGTGGCCTTTCTGAAATTCAATCTAAATATTTTCTTTTGTACTTAAATTTAAATGTCTTCATTAACTTTGAACATATTTACATGTGAGCCAAGTTTAAACTATTTAGCATATCATTTTTTTAACTGTAATTATCTATCACACATTTAGTTTACCCTTAAAGTAGCTTTCCCTAGAGCAGGGTCTGAACAAATATGGCACTTAGGACAAATCAGACTTTTTTTTTTTTAAATAACACTGTATTATTAGAATGCTCTTATATTTTTTTTTAAAAAGCATTCTGCCTATGGTTATGTTATCTCTATAATGGAGTTCAGAACATGTTACCCCAAAATGTAGCACTGTGGCATATTTAATATTTTATGCTGATGAAATTTCAGCAAAATCACGGAGGCAGAAAGATAACTCTCACCTTTCTTCTCTACCTATGCCCTGTATCAGGCCGTAGAACAATTGAAGAGTGTTCTGACATTCCCAAAAGCAGGTCAGGAGACCCTTACATGAAAAGTACCTTCCCAATTGCAAGATAAAAGGAGCGTCCTTATATCCTTATGCCCAAAGACAAAAGGTCACAGAAAAGAATCTGAACAGACCTCACTAAGTTTTCCAATTTATTATCAGAAATATGACAGGCCAAAGGGCCTATCATATTTCTCCACATCTATCCAGTCTTCATCAAACCTACCATAAAAAACACATAGGTTTAACTATTTCTTTGGGTCTTCTTTTCCTTATGAAGGCTTCCATGTCACATACAACTTATATTAAGTACATTTGTGTGTCTTTACTTTGTTAAGCTGTTCCTTGTTATAGGGGCCTCAGCCATAAGCCTAGAGTGGGTAAGGAAAATACATCTTTCTTACCCTACAGCTACAAAAGCAAAGTTGAGTAGTTCTGACAGATATTCTCCAGCCTGTAAAGCTTGAATTATTTCCTAACTGGCCTTTATCAGAAAAAAAGACTTGACGACCCCCATCATGGAGGGAGGTTTGGCTTATCCACTTAAGGTTACTTTGTACTCCCCCTCTACTCCCACCTTGCTTCCTATACACTTCTTTTTCAAAGAAAACATCGTATTTTCTACCAATTCATTTACATATCCATTTGTATACCTTATGCCTGATGCCTAATGACTCTTTGAAAGATAAACAGTTGCTTAATGAATAACTTTGATTAGTAAGACAGGAAGAATCAATTCTAAAGGTATATTTAGACTTTCTTTTCTCTACTGAAGGGGTTTATTGTTTTATTATTAGCTGTATTCATTAATTTATTAATTCTGTGTTCTTTCATATATCTTATTATTTATACAGAAGAAAATTATGAAATACCTGGTCTTACAGAATAACATATTCAATTATGCCGGCTGCAAAGATCAGTCATATTGGCCAATCAAATTGCTGAGCCTGCCACCAAATTGAATAGTTTCTTGAATGAATGATATTAATTGCTTTTCTATCATAATATCGACCTTCAGTATATGTGGCATACTCCTACATCCTTGTAAATGGTCTTCTTAAATATTAATGAGGACTGCCACTATATATAAAATTATCTTTATTCTACTATTGTTTACTGAGAAAATAGAATGCACTGGGTACTGTGTGTGTTACAAGTGTGAGTTCATTAAGTCTATATTTACATATGAATTGGACCTAAAGCAGGGAAAGGTGGCAAAGATCAGAACTCATGCAGCTTCATTTAAATCAGAATTATCTGACTCCCTATCTTCTGCACTTACACACAACTCATATTGTTTTAAATCACAGCTATTTTAGAGTATCTGGCAAGACCACCAGGAAATTTTAGCAAACAGAGGCATTAAGATAATTTTCTAAATGGGTGGAATCAATCAATCAACTCTTAGTTATTTAAAGGTTGCTTATTTGGCTCTTCATTCTCTCCCTTTTCTCTCTGGCTTCCTGCCTTTGGCCATTTCATTGCTCTTTAGCACTGCCATTAGAGATTTGGCATGAAAAGAGAACAAAAAAAAGATGAAAACTATATGAGGCTATTTAATTTCCCAATAGGCTTAGCAATTCTTATATATTCCTTCAGGTGAGTAGGATGTACTTTAGATTAACTCCGATACTCATTCAGAAGGTCACATACTTTCTAGCATTACACATTTTGCTCATCAGAAAATAGACATAGGTAAGTCCAAACGGACCTACTTCTAAGGGAGGAGACCACCCCTCTTATTGTCTTATGCCCAATTTCTGCCTCCAAAGAAAGAAGAAGTAAAAACTAAAAGGCAGAAATGAAATCCACAAGCAGACAGTCTGCCACCACACCCTGGGCCTAGTAGTTAAAGATCGACCCCTTACCTAATCGGTTATTTGCATAAGAAAAGCACTGTGAAGATCCCTGTCCTATTCTGTTCTGTTCTGTTCTGATTACCGGTGCATGCAGCCCCCAGTCACATACCCCCTGCTTGCTCAATCTATCACGACCCTCTCACATGGATCCCCTTAGAGTTGTGAGCCCTTAAAAGGGACAGGAATTGCTCACTTGGAGAGCTTGGTTGTTGGAGACGTGAGTCTTGCCAAAGCTCTTGGCCGAATAAAGCCCTTCCTTCTTTAACTTGGTGTCTGAGGGGTTTTGTCTGAGGCTTGTCCTGCTATACTTCAAAGTACAAAATTTTCCTTTTCAAAAGTTTTCAACCTTCAATATTCTATTAAGATCTTTGATTAACCAATTAATTTTGATTACTATAGCTATTTCATTATTTTATATTCCACTTACTTTTTCATTAAAGTTTTATTCAGAAATATTTCACATATGATAAAATTCACCCATTTCAATGAACTCATTTCAAGTGAATTTTAGTAACTACAATGAGTGGTGGGACCGTTAACATAAACTGATTTTTAAGCAATCTTATTCCCCCATTAAGATCTCACATACCAATAAATCCCCAATCTCACCCCCAGCCCTAGTAACCTACTAATCTATTTTCTGTTTCTATAAATTTTCCTCTTTTGAATGTCTTATGTAAATGAACCATACAGTACTTTGTCTAGGCATCTGGCTTCTTTAATTTAACATGTTTATGACATTTATCCATGAAGTAGCATGTGCAGCAGTTTGTTCCTTTTTATTGTTAAATAGTATGCCTTTCTATCAGCATCCATGCTGTGTCCATCCATCGACCAGTTGATGGGCATTTAGATCAATTCTAGTTTTTGGCTATTATGAATAAAGCTGCTATGAACATGTATGTCCCTGTGTGGACATGTTTTCATTTCTCTTAGATACATACTTATGAGTTTTCATTTCTCTTTGATACATAATTATACTTGGGTCATATATTAGTTTTGCTTTTACCTTTTTGAGGAACTACCAAACTGTTTTCTAAAGTTGGCTGTAATTGACTTTTATATTGAGGAGAGAGTCCATTTCTCCTGCTGTCCCCTGTCTCCATAGAAATGGAGGAAGTAAAAACTGAAAAATAACAGACTGATCGGTGCCACTGGCCAGGCCTGTAGGTTAAAGATTAACCCCCACCCTAACTGCTTGTGCTATCTATAGATCACAGACAATGCTATGGAGAAATACTTGCCTTGCTCACTACCCCTGTCTAGTCACCTACCCCATGCATGCTCAATCTATCATGACCCTTTCACGTGGACCCCTTAGAGTTGTAAGTCCTTAAAAGGTCCAGGAACTCTTTCTTCAGAGAGCTGGGTTCTTGAGATGCTAGTCTGCCAACGCTCCTGGCTGAATAAAGCCTCTTCCTTCTTTAATCCAGTGTCTGAAGGGTTTTGTCTGAGGCTTGTCCTGCTACAATGTATTAGTATAGTTAATAGTATAATATTTTTCTGAGCTACAGCAACATTTATCTGAGCTATAATATTGATCTAATATTATTTGCAAATATAAATTTTTGCACAAGTTCTTGAGAAAATTTTATATAACATTATTATTTGAGAAAATATTAAATCCAGTTTTTTAGGACTAGCAGATGCATTTGTAAGATATTAGGTATGTATGGAGAACTTGATCTGAAAATATCATGCTACTTGCTAGAATTTTTATAATTAATGCTACTTGGTAATTTTAATAATTAAATGCAAATAATTAATTATTTGAAAAAAGTATAATTAAAAGTGGAAAGTTTGCATATATACTCACCACACACCTCATTCTTTGTATTCTACGTGTGTTCCTTTGGAAAAAGTGACAACTAACACACCAAGTGAAGTATATCAATACCCAAAATCAGAAACCTAAAAAGTTTCTGATCTGCTGATGGCAAAGTAACTTACATTAGACATAACAATCTTGCATATAAAAGTTATAAACTCTACAGGGGAAATCATGTTTGAAGGCATTGGAGATTAACCCACAGCTTCTGCTAACTGGAGAGTGCATAACATTAGAAAAAAAAAGCACTGGTTAAGACTCACGTTTACATGAGAGCTCTCCCCAGTCTACTCTTGGAGAACAGCTATAGTTTGTTTATAATAGATGCCCTGTAAACGTAAAACACTTTGTAAGTTAAAGAATGGAAAAACAGATATGCTAACTCTAAACAAAAGAAAACTAATACAGAAATACTAAAACAGACAATGCAAAACTTAGAATACAAAGTATTAAATCATAGGAAAAGGGAATATTCTTAAATTTAAAGGGGATTTTATCAAAACAGCATAACAGACATTCACGCCCCAAATTAGAGCTTAAAGCCACATAAAACAAAAATTTGCAGAACTAAAGTTTTTAGATAAAGTCCACAATCATAAGTAGGGAATGAATACCCTTCTCTTAGTAATCGATAAAAAACAATAAATATTTTTTAAAAACACAAAAATAAGTAAAGACATAGAACATTTGCACAATTCTACCAACCAACTTGATCTTATTCATATTTCTAGAATCCTTTATTAAACTTCTGTAGAATACATGTTATTTTCCAGTTCATATAGAATATTGATGAAAATAGATAATATTCTGAGACATAAAGCAAGTCTTAAAAGAAATAAATTATACTGAAATATTGAGTATATTCTTTGACTAAAAGTTAACTAAACTATAAACCAATCAGAATAAATTTGCCAAAAAATTTCCTAAATAATGAAATAAAATTATGCATTCATATACATCAGGAGCTAAAAAGAATTGCGATAGAAATTAGAAAATATACCAAAAAGAATAATAATAAAACACAACATGTAACAATTACTACAGTATTACTTATAAAAAATGTATAGCTTGATTTGCTTTCATTAAAAAATAAGAAAGGTTTAAAAATCAATGGTTTAGGCTTTCAGTTTAAGCAATAAGAAGGGAAGCAAATTTAACACAAAATAGAGAAAAAATGTACAATGAGAATACAATAAAAATAAAAGGAGAAAAATAGAGAAAATTATCAAAGCCAATATTTTAATAATAATATAATAATATTTTAGTAATAATAAAGCAAATTCCCATTTATTTGGAAAAAGCAGATAAAACACACATCTAACAGTCATTAAAAAGACATCAAATGTACTCTAAACAATGTGATGTCAATACATCCTACAAATTAGATGAGATGGTCAAATCCATTGAAAGGCACTACTTACAAAGATGAATGCAAAGGAATAGAAAATGTGAACAACCCTATATATATTAAAATTTGAATAAACAAGATAATTAAAAAGCAAGAACAAGTTTAGAATTTCTACTGTGTCTCCTAATATGTTAGTACAATAAGGCAAGAAAAAATACAAATGTCATAAGGAGCACAAAGTAAAAATTAAAACGGCATTTTCATTTTTTCTTTATTTCTTCTAAAAAAAAATGGGATACATGTGCAGTACGTGCAGGTTTGTTACATAGGAATACGTGTGTCATGGGGGTTTGCTGCACCTATTGACCCGTCATCAGCCTTATAGCAAAACCAGGAAGAGACACAACAAAAAAGGAAAACTTCAAGCCAATATCCCTGATGAACATCTATGCAAAAATCCTCAATAAAACACCAGCGTTTTCATTTTTTAAAGACATAATTTGTGTGTAAAATACCTGAAGAAATCTTCCCAAAATCAAGACTTTATTAAGGGAATTTAACAATGAAAGTAAATAAAAGGTCAACTATACAAAATGCTATTGCATTTCTATATACGAAAAATAAATAATTGGAAATTTACATTTAACATACAAAATATAATATAACATTACTAGTTAGGAATACATATTAACAATATTTAAATGTTTTCATGTTATTGGTAGAAATAATTGCAGAGAAGTCTTGAAGACAGATGATGTAAATGAGTAGACATACCATTGTTGAGATGTCAATTCTTGCTAAATCAGCCTCAATATTGAATACCATTTTAATCATAATTCTCAAATGTCTGTGGAGAAACTTATGACATTATTATAAATTATATGGAAACAAGGAGGTCACAAAATAGCCACAATGCTCCTTAAAAAAAGTTATAAAACTTATATCTCTGATTTCAGGCCTTCTGTTAATTTACAATAATCAAAATTGTGTGGCATTTGTATAAGTATATACATAAAACATCTAAAAATGACTTACAAATATATAGTTATTTGATTTTCATTAAAAAACCAAAGTTAATCAGGGGGGAAAGAATAGTCCTTTCAACAAATGGTCCTGGAAAAGCTGGACATCTGTAAGGGAAAAAAAAAAGCTTTGACCCATTTCTCATGACATACAAAAAATATTAATTTGAGATAAATCACAGACCTAAACTTTAAGCTAAACTGTAAAAATTCTGGAATAAAAATTGAATATTTTCACTCATTTTGGGTAAGTAAAGATAAATTAATAAAAACAAAAAAGCACTGAGATTAGGAAAAAAATAAAAACTGGATTGTTTTCAAGATGAAACCCTTGTTCTCTTATACATTAAAATGAAAAAGAAAAAGATAAGACACAGGCTGGAAAATATTTGCACAATGTATTTAACAAAAAACTTCTATGCAAAATATTTTTTAGAGTTTTACAAATCAATATTAAAAAGGCAACACAATAAAATTGAGCAATACCCTTGAAACATATATGAATATATGAATTACCAGTAATCAGACATAGCTAAAATATATGAATTACCAGTAATCAGAAGAAAAGGTGCTCATCAAGGTACTGAATTGAATGCTAATTTTACTTGTAGGTTTTTGTTTTTGTTTTTATTTGGAACATCCATACTCTATTACACACAGTGGCTGTACTTGTTTACATCCCTATCAGCAGCGTATAAGAATTCTCTTTTTTCTGCATCCTTACCAGCTTTTTTTTTTATAACAGTCATCCTAAAAGGGGTGAGATGATACCTCAGCGTGATTTTGACTTGCCATGTTAGGATGAATATAGTTAACAACAGTATATTGTATAGTTTCAAATAGCTAAAAAAGAGTAGTTACTGTTTCCAAGACACACACAAAAAAATGATAAATGTTTGAAATGACGGGTATGTGAATTACCTTGATCTGATCACTATATATTATATGTATTGAAACATCACTGTGTACCTCATAAACATGTACAACTATTATATGTTAATTAGAAAATATTAAATAAAATAAAGTTGTTAAATTTCAATTATGAAAGACAATACTGAGAGATACGAAAAAAATTTAAATAAATGGCAAGGCAGAGCATGTTGTTAAAAAAAGAGATGGAGAAGGTACTCACCATCATTAATCATTAGGGAGAAGCAAAATAAAATCAAAATATTATATCACGTCAATCTCACCAGAATGAGTACAATTTAAAACATGAAAAATATCACGTTAGCAAGGAGGTAATATAATTCTATTCTTAAATATGCAGATAAGAATATAAATTATTAAAACTTTGGAAAATAGGTTTGCACTTTCTTATATGCCTAACTTCTATATTTACCCAATAACCTAAAAACTTCATGCTTATTGTATCCCCAATAGTTATTAAGACACATAAGAGCAAAAAATCCTAGTAAAATAATATTTATATCATCTTTTTTC
The DNA here is from genome assembly GCF_000001405.40 of Homo sapiens. NCBI lineage: Eukaryota > Metazoa > Chordata > Mammalia > Primates > Hominidae > Homo > Homo sapiens. The sequence continues at coordinate 82,894,374 of NC_000013.11, read as the reverse complement.
ATAAGAAAAAGCAACTGAAAAAAATCCAAATGTTCATCAATAAGAGTATAATTAATTACCTTGTTTTATGTTTATTCTTCAATTGTAAATATACCTCAGAAAACAGGAACTACTGATACACAACATCAGAAAATCTCAAAATAAATTATGTTTAGTAAAAGTGTACAAAACTACGTACATACAGGAAACTAAAAACTACAGGAAACAAAAACTGAGGAAACTACAGGAAACTAAAAACTAAGCTGTGGTGGTGAATTCAGAGCTCAGAGCAGTGGTTTTCTACTGGGGATATAGGTATAAACTTGGGGAAAAAATAAAACTTACTGAGGAAGTTGAAACCTGAGTGTATTCGTTTGAGAAACTCATCATTTGATTACGTGCAATTTATACTTTAATACTTTTTTAATGTACTTATAAAAGTAATTAAAAAGTTGTTTTTGAGTGAAGCAATCATGAAAACAGAATTAATATGTAGTTTTTTTATTTTTAATTTAATTGTATAAATGCAACTAATTAATAAATAAGAATAAATATATCAGTTGAAATATCTTTATTAAAAAGACTCATTTTGTAATATATATATATGCAATTATTGTCAATTAATTTTTTTTAAAAAATTGTAAAAGCTACTAGACAACTTAAGCAACTAATTTAAAACCTGAATAATTTAATTGATGTTACTGTTGAGATTGAGAATATGCCTAAACTGCGACAAACAACCTTTAAATATTTTCAGGTTTGAGGAGAATAAATTTCACAATGAAATGGACTGAACTAGACTGTTACTATCTTCACATCTAACTTCTACACTTTCTCACTAATCTGTTTTTATGTTAATTGAGAAAAGCATCACTCATGGAACTGTGCTTTCTGAAAATGTCTCCTGTAGGACAAATCATATAATGTTAGTGATAGACACTGCTTACCAAATTATTACCAAGAATAATTATTAATATATTCAAATGCAAGCTGGTGCATTGGCATGCACCTATAGTCCTAGCTACTCAGGAGGCTGAGGGAGGAGGATTGCTTGATCCAAAGAGTTTGAGGCATAGTGAGATATCACACCACTGCACTCTAGCCCGGGAAATGAAGGGAGACCCTTTCTCAAATACATATATTACACACACACACAACAAACAAACAGACAAACAAAAAAACCACACCCCAGATTTGATTATCTCCTTAGATAAGACCCATCAGGAATTTGACTATGAACCAAAAACCTTCTTCTGCATATAAATGAATTGCTAATCTATCACCATGTTTGCTAGCCACTAATTTTGTGAGAAAAAAATATGTATCCATTAAATTATTTAATTCCCTTATGAGGCTTGCTGATAATGCCATACAGTTTACTAATTTGGTACAGCTACTTTGCATTTAATACAAGGCACCATGGAGCACCATTGATATTGTCCACAGAAACAGCATCATATGTTTGCCTCTGCTATTGCTATATCCACTAGTCATTTTCATTCACTGACATATGCTCCTTATTGTCATTACCATCATCTAATTATTACTGCATTTTTAAATGCACCTTGAAGATTCGGTTTCTTGGGTACGATTGTCTGAATGACTAGACCATATCATGTTGCTTACATGTAAGCTCCCAGTGACAAGGAAGAAAGACAGACTCATTTTTTCTTTACTTTTTTTTTTTTTTTTTTTTTTGATACCGAGCTTTCTCTTTCGCCCAGGCTGGAGTGAAGTGATGCGATCTCAGCTCACTGCAACCTCCACCCCCGGGTTGAAGTGATTCTCCTGCTGGGATTACAGGCGCCCACGGACCATGCCCAGCTAATTTTTGTATTTTTAGTAGAGACGGGGTTTTGCCATGTTGGCCAGGCTGGTCTCAAACTCCTGACCTCAGGTAATCTGCCCTCTTTGGCCTCCCAAAGTGCTGGGATTACAGGCCCGAAGCCTCAGCTCCGGCCTTTTCGTTAGTTTTCATAGTGTCTCCTGCAACATTGCATTCCATCAAGATACTATAGTGTGGGCTTCCTCAAAATGAGTTGGCTATTTGAATACTGGGGAATTAAAACTGGACGAATATCCTCTAAATTTTTGAAATACAAGTATTGTACTGACAAACTCCATATTACATTTAAGTTTTGTAATAATTACTTTGCTGTAGGCTAATGATGAAAAAAGTTTCTTTTAATTGCTATCTTGCTAACATCTTTAGGTAAATAAGCTGTGATATTTATTAGCTAAAGTTTCCAACAAAAATAAATTAAAGCAGCATATGAGAAAATTGGACGTTAAAACTATGGCTACATTGTATTTGTAAAATATCTCAACATCTTAGTTTATAGTTAAAAGATGATAGACATAAAATGAGTTGAAAAACATGCTGTACATTTTAGAGCCATAAAAGCTAATAAAGTAATTATTCATGGAATTAAAGATATTATCAGTCCATTTGCCAAAGATTAATGTGGGTAACTCTTTTGAAGAAGGTGTACACTCCTGCAAAAAATGACTTTTTCTCATTTTAAAATGAAGTGGCCTTGTACACATACTACAAAATAAAAGCTTGCACTCTGTTTTCTTGTATTGTTTAATGTAGTTTAAACACATTTTTATTTTGGGAAGAAGATAAAAATTGATTATATGACACATGAAATATTTATATTCATGTTTCTTTTGTTAACTTGTGACTCACATGCCAGCTTCTTCTCACTCATGTTCTCCTCCTGCCTTTGGATCCTCTGGAGCCTGCCTGGTTAGACACAGTGTATTTCTATCAGCTGCTACTCTAATCACAACTGATTATAAAGTCAAAATCCCAGAAATGTCAGATTAATACATCCATGTAAAATATATACAAACGATGCTTAAATAGATGCTTGCTTTTGTATACAAGCAAATAATGCCTAACTTGAGGAAAAAAGTTATATGACAAAATAATACGTTTAGCTGGCTGCATCAGCTCTGCACAATATCGGCTTCCATGGTGGACAAACTGTTTAGTTTTTGGCTGGTGTCCAGAGATAGGGTGGTTTCAGTTGTTGATATATATAATGTAATATAATTTGTTGATATGAAGATGGAAGTCAGAAATAACTGTCATTTCTACTTCACAATGCACTAATTTTTTTACCTTTTAGTCACAAAAATATGTCTTTTTTCCAGATGTTCGTCAATATAGGAGATATCAAGGTAATTTATAACAGTCCTTAGTCCTTATTTCCAATTTTAAAAATCATTTTATATGCCCTGATTTGTATATATTACAGTGAATCATATAACTGTAGCCACCTCTCAGAGGTCATAAAGACACTAAGCAATAACATTGGCTGAAGAAAATTCTCTTCTTACTTACCCCATTTCTTTTCCATCACATATATGTTAGAATTAAATGACAACACATAGATATTAACTATATCTTATCTAACTTCTGGAAAAGATTTAAATTCATTTTCAAAGGGGAATATGTCTATTATAAGATTACAAGTTTGGGCATTAATCCCCTGTCCAAAAGATATTTTTTAGAAGTGTATAAAATTGATGTATTATATTAATTAGCTTTTCACATAATTTCAAGAGGCAAATAATGTATCTCCGATGTTATTCATAGTTCTTTAACATCATTTGATGATGTGAATATGAAAGTCAGAAATATCTGCCATTTTTACTGCATAATAGACTAATATTTTTTATCTTGTAATTGGAGCCATAGAGCAATCCTCCTCCACCATTATAAGTCAAGTAGAAAATTATTTATCTCTGTAAAGTCGAGTAGAAAATTATTTATCTTTGTTCTCTACCTAGATGAGACTTGTAACTGTCCATTTCAATGATCTATATCTTAAATAAAAATTCATCCTCTTTTTTCAGAGTAATTTCAGATGTTGTGTTTATTCAGCCAATATTTATTGAATAATATAATGCAAAGTTCCGAGTGTCAAAAATATCTAAGTACAAATGCCAGCCTTTAATTTACAAGTTGTATGGCTTTCATCAAGTTAGAACAGATTTCTTAACGTCAGTTCTAGATCTAAAAATAAAGGTAATGGTTTCAGGAATGTTGTGGGAATTGTGTAAGATACAAGATGTGAACTAGCACAGCACTTGGTACAAAGGAAAGGTTTGATAAGTAATAACTATTATTATTTGCATGAACCATACACTTGGCAGTTGTTGAGAATACACAATCATCATCAATGCTACAAAGGAATACACAGACGGAGGTAGGAGGATGTGTGTACAAATAACTGATGTACTGTGTTGCATTACTCCAAAATAAGGTTGCACTGGTGAGTTGCTTGCTCATGTTTGATTTCTCACATTTTTATTTTTAGTAATGTTAAAAAAGCGAATCAAAACTAAATGGAAATACATTCTTCATACTTTTTTTTTACATTTGTTTCTTGTATTTTTACAAAAACAATTTAAAACCTTTTAAACATTATTACAAAATTAACTATTCCTTTTTCCTCCCCAGTGGCAACCATTACTATGGTAAGGATCCTTCTGAATTGTTGATATATAGAGACATGATTTTTTTTTCACTTTTGTCCTTAACACATCCTTACATTATAAAATTGATATTATTCCAACTTTTAAAAAATTCAAAATTGTTTTGTAAGATATAATTTTGGTATATTTATATTTGTGTCTAGAAAATAGACATCTGTCATATCTATCTATATACTATATGTATATTATCTATCTCTTATCTATCTGTTATCTATCTATATCTATTTATGTGTCTATCTGCTTATCTTTCTATCTACCATAGATTTGTGAATACTACAGGGTGTTCATATTATACTCTTTTTAATTCTTTTTATTACTTTATTTTTAATTATTAATTATTTTATATTGAACACTACCATGGTTTTCATTTTTTGATATAACAAAAAAGCTGTACTGAGTTGAATATTCTCATAACCCATGTCTCTATGAACACATGTCGTTATTGATTCCTGGTGTCTGAAATTTTAATTTCATTAGATTTTAATCGGCTTTGTTTGCAAGCTATTATAACACTTTACATATCAACCAGCAGTGTATGAAAATTATTCTAATTTCTGATTATTTCACATTTGTTTAGTTAAAAAATAAAGAACTTCTCACATATTTTTATTAACCTCATAATTTTCCTTTGTGAACTGCTCAGTTTTTATAAAAAAATTTTAATTTCTTAATTGATATGTAGAACTTTAAAATATATTTTGAGTCCTAGTTTGTTACCTAATGTATGAATTACAAATATTTTCCTCCAGAATGTTGCTCATGCTTTTACTTTCACAAATACATTATAACAGAAGTTCTAAAATTTTGGATGCTTAAATATATGCATTTTTATGTGTGCATGATGTGTCTTTTTTTTTTTTTTTTTTTTTTTGCGACTGAGTTTCGCTCTTGTTGCCCAGGCTGGAGTGCAGTGGCTCTAATTCTAGAAAAAGGAAATGCAAATATTTTGTTGTTTTGGTTTGAGATAAAATATACCATAAATTATTTTTAATAAGTAATTTATTTATATGCTTGGAAAGATAGAGGGGTAAAAAATTTCATCCCACCCCTCTTCCTCAGTCATTGAGTTTTCATCAGTGGAGGCAGCCAAATAATAGGTTGAGAAGGGTATTTGTTAGGTTTTTGTATAGGGTTTTTGTAGTTTGAGATCTTACATTTAAATCTTTAATTCATGTCGAGTTAATTTTTGTATATGGTGAGGATAAGGAGGAGTTTACCAGCTTTTGTATATGGTGAGTATAAGGATCCAGTCTCACTCGTCTCCATATGGTTAGCCAGTTATCTCAATCATTTATTGAATAGGAAGTCCTTTTGACATTGTTTGTTTTAGTTGGAGAGTGGCCATTTTCTTAAACCCTCAATTAATACAGAGTGTTATAAAACTTCGTAATATAACAAAATGATAGGTGAAACAGTATTACAAAGTTTTCATAAATTTCATTTTTCTTACAATGTTTAAAAGTGAATACATTTTTATGTATTTTGAGCCAATCGTATGTCCTTTTCTGCTGCATATTAGTAGAACATGCTCAATTTTATGAGATAATTTGTCATTTTCTTATTTAATATCAGTTCTATCTAAATGACTGAAGTGTGAGTTATGTGGTTTCTGTTGGTGGTAAGTAGATGTCTCACTTTTGCAATGCTGCGTACACAAACTTTTGCCTCTAGTAGTTTTAAAAAAATTAAGGTATAAATAATGTTCAATAAACTGCACATATATAAAATTTAACAAGTTTTTACATCTGTATTACCATGAAAGTAAAATTAAAATAAATATAATTAGTACGTCAATTACACTGAACAATTTCCTTATACACTTTTGAGATCTTCTTTAACTCAGTGAAAATAGAGATTATTTTGTGTTGTTTCATGTATCAGTAGCTACATTTTATTTCTCTCTAAATTGTAGAGTCTGAATATACTACAATTAATATGTCCATTTTCCTGTTGATGAACTTTCACTCTGTTTCCAATTATTTATTTATTTTATTTTATATTTTTGAGACGGAGTCTCACTCTGTCACCCAGGCTGGGGTGCAGTGGCATGATCTTGGCTCACCGCAACCTCTGCCTCTCGGGTTCAAACAATTCTCATACCTCAGCCTCCTGAGCAGCTGGATTATAGGCGTGCACCTCCACATCCAGCGAATTTTTTTATTTTTAGTAGAAATAGGGTTTCGCCATGTTGGCCAGGCTGGTCTCGAATACCTGACCTTACTTAGGTGATCTGCCCACCTTGGCTTCCCAAAATGCTGGATTGCAGGCATGAGCCACTGTGCCCAGCCTGTTTTTAATTTTATGGATATTACAAATAGGGCCTGTATAATTTTAGTGTACAAGCATTTGCACTGACATATGCTTTCATGTCTTTGGTTAAATTCTCAGTAATTTCTTTTGTCCCATGGGGTGCTCCCTTGTAATACTCTCCCCCTTTGCCTAGGGATGTGGCTTCCTGAGAGCCATATGGTAGTGATTGTTAGTTCTCTTCTGGATCTAGCCATCCTTCGGGACTGCTGGGTTCCAGGCGTGTAGTGGGGGGATGTCTGCACGGAGTCCTGTGATGTGAACCATCTATTGGTCTCTCGGCCATGGATAGCAACACCTGCTTCAGTGGAGATGGCACGGGAGTGAAACGGACTCTGTGAGGGTCCTTAGTTGTATTATTATTGTTGATATTATGGTTTCCTGCTGGTTGGCCTCCTGCCAGGAGGTGGAGCTTTCAAGAGAGCATCAGCTCTAGTAGTATAGGGAGGATTTGGTGGTGGGTGCGGCCCTAGGACTCCCAAGAGAATGTGACTTTTCTCTTCAGCTACTAGGGTGGGTGGGAAAGACCATCAGGTGGGGTAGGGTTAGGTATGTCTTAGCTCAGATTCTTGTTGGGCAGGGCTTGCTGTGTCTGCTGTCGGGGGTTGGGGGTGTCCTTCCCAGGTCAATAGAGTTATGTTTCCAGGAGGATTATGGCTTCCTCTGCTGATCATGCTGTATCATAGTTTCCAGGGTCTTCACATACTTAAAATGTTATATCCACTAGGTGTTATAAATAATGCCTTCCATTTTTATTAATTTTGTGGATTTTTTATTTCTACTTATAACTTAGATTCTTCCACAATTTATTTTGCTTCTGATATCAGATATCACTCTCATTCAGGGTTAAGCTGAAGAAAACAGAAACTGGTTCAGTTATTTGTTTTTACTGATGAGTGAATACATATAAGAAAATGTACTAATTGTAAGTGTTCATTTCAATTACTTGATTCAAAAATATGCCAGTGTAACCTGCACCCAGTTCAAAAAATAATACAATTTTTAACATCATTAGATCCTCTTTTATGTATCATTGTAGATGTTTGTTATTAATTATAAGATATTCTTCATATATTTTCCATTGCAGGTGTGTTTACATGTGTATATCAATATATGTTTTGTAGTTGTCCTCATCTATCAATTTATTTATTCTATTTTATGACTTATGAGTGACATTTCATCTTCTTAATGGTGCATATTTATGAACTGTGAATGGAAAAGAGATCTTGGGACCCCAAACTCACTAAGCCAAAGGAAAAAGCCACACAAACTTGCCTCCTGTTTTGTTTCTAAATAAGATAGCTACAAAGATAAACAGTTACAAACCTTACAATTTACCTAAAACAAATTTTTTGTGGGTTCCCAGATCTTTACCCTAAAACAGTTCTATTGAACTTCACCCTGGCAATATACATCGAAAGCTTATCCTCACAGTTATGGGAAGAAAGATGGAACTGAAAGCAATTCCTCTGCTCACTTAGGACCAACGCATATCTGATTGTTTCCTCTGTCCTAAGTTTATTTTACCCTATGTAAAAATGCAGATTCACTGACCTAGAGGAAGGAATAAGTGATTATTCCTCTACCTCTGTCTCACATGTAAATTGTGTATTCAGTGAAAGACTGATCAAAGACTCAAAAGAATGGAACCACTTGCTCATACCTACCCACACTCATTTTTTATTTCTTCCTTTTTCCCAATACCCACCTGATATAGTTTAAATATATATACCCTCCCAAATCTCATGTCAAACTGTAATTCCCAATGTTGGAAGGAGGGTCTGGTGGGAGGTAATTATATCATGGAGGTGGGTTTCTCATGAATGATTTAGCAACACCATCTTGGTACTGTCTTCACGACAGTGAATGAGTTTTTGTGAGATCTGGTCATTTAAATGTATAGCACCTCTCTCCACCTTCCTCCTGCTGCTGTCATGCAAGATTTCTACTCCCCCTTTGCCTTCCATCATGATTGGAAGCTTTCTGAGGCCTCCCCTAAAGCAAAAGCCACTATGCTTCCTGTACAGCCTGCAGATCCATGAATCAATTAGAACTCTTTTCTTTATAAATTACCGAGTCTCAGGTATTTCTTTATAGAAATGCAAGAATAGACTAATACATAAAATTGTTACCAAGGAGTGGGACATTGCTCTAAAAACACCTAAAAATGTGGAAGTGGCTTTGGAAAAGGGTAACAAACAGAGTTTGGAAGAGTTTAGAGGGATCAGAAGAAGACAGAAAAATGAGGGAAAGTTTGGAACTTCCTAGAGTCTGGTTGAGTGGTTATGACCAAAATGCTGATAGTGATGTGGCCAGTGAAGGCCAGGCTGAGGAGGTCTCAGATGGAAATGAGGAACTTATTATGAACTGAAGCAAAGGTCGCTTTTTTATGTTTTAATGAAGAACTTGGCTGCATTGTGCCCCTGTCCTGAGGTGGGGAACTTTGTACTTGAGAGAGATGATTTAGTGTATCTGGTGAAAGAAATGTCTAAGCAGCAAAGTATTTAAGATGTAGTCTGGCTGTTTCTAACAACCCTTAATTGTTTGCATAAGCAAATAAATGAATTAAAATTGGAACTTATATTTAAAGAAGAAGCGAATGTAAAAGTTTGGAAAGTGTGCCTGGCCATGTGGTGGAAAGGAAAAGCCCATTTTCTGGGGAGGAATTCAAGTAGACTCAGAAATTTGTATAAGTAAAAAGGAACCAAGTGCTACTAGCTAAAACAATGGAGAAAAGGCCTCAAAGACATTTCAAAGACCTTGCAGCAGTCCCTTCTATCACAGACCCAGAGGCCTAGGACAACTGAATGTTTTCATAGATTAGGCGCAGGGACCTAATACCCTGTAAAGCCTGGGGACACTGCTCCCTGTATCGCAGCCACCCCAGCTCCAGCTGTGGCACAAAGGGGCCCAAGTACAGCTTGGACTGCCATTTCAGATGCTGCAAGCCATAAGCATTGCTGGCTTCCACATGGTGTTAAACTTGTGGGTGCCCAGAGTGTAAGAGTTGAGGCTTGGGAGCCTCCAGCTAGATTTCAAACAATGTTTGAAAAAGCCTGGGTTCCCAGCCAGAAAACTGTTTCAGTGGTAGAACCCTCACAGAGAACCTCTACTAAGGCAGTGCAGTGGGGAAATGTGAGGTTGGAGCCCTCATACAGAATCCTCACAGCAGCACTGCCTAGGGCAGCTGTGAGAAGGGGGCCACCATCCACCAGACCCCAGAATGGTGGAGCCACTTACAGCTTGTAACCTGTACCTAGAAAAGCTATGGGTACTTAACACCAGCCCATGAGATCAGCCACAGGGATGAACCTTGCAAAGTCACAGGGGTGAAGCCTTCCAATACCTTTGGAGACCACCTACCATATCAGTGTGCCTTGGATGTGGGACTGAATTCAAAATTTTGGAGATTTAAAATTTAATGACTGTCCTCCTGGGTTTTGAACTTGCATGGGGCCTGTAGCCCTTTGTTTTGGCTGATTTTTCCCTTTTGAAATGGGAGTATCTACCCAATAACATACCTACATTGTGTCTTGAAAATAACTAACTTGATTTTATAGGATCAGAGTTGAAAGGGCCTAGCCTTGTCTCAGATTAGACTTCAGACTTTGGACTTTTGAATTAATGCTGGAAGAAGTTAAGATTTTGGGAATTATTGAGAAGGCATTATTGTATTTTGCAATGTGAGAAGGATATAAGGTTTGGGAGGGGCCAAGGGCGCAATTATATAGTTTGGATATATGTCCCTACCCAAATCTCATGTTAAATTGTAATTCCCAATGTTGGAGGTATGGCCTGGTGGGGGGTGTCATGGGGGTGAGTTTATTATGAAGGATTTACTACCATCTTTTTTGGTACTGTCCTCATGACAATGGGTCAGTTCTCACAAAATCTGGTCATCTAAAATTGTGTTGCCCGTGCCCCCCCACCCATCTTTCTCTTTTTCTTCCTCCTGCCATGGAAGAGTCATTGTATTATTCCGTTTTCATACTGCTATAAAGATATTACCTGTGACTGTGTAATTTATATATAAAAAAGTTTAATTGACTCACCACATGTCTGCGGAGGCCTCAGGAAACTTACTATCATGGTAGAAGGCAAAGGAGAAGCAAGCACCTTCTTCACAGGTGGCAGGAGAGAGAGAGAGAGCAAAGAGGATGAGCTGAACACTTTTAAACCATCATATTTTGTGAGAAATCCCTCACTATCATGAGAACAGCAAGGTGAAAACCACCCCCATGATCCAATCAACTCCCACCAGGTTCCTCCCTCAACACACGGGGATTACAATTTGAGATTAAATTTGGGTGGGGACACAGAGCCAAATCATCATTCTGCCCCTGCCCCCTCCCAAATCTCATGACCTATTCACATTTCAAATCCAATCACGCCTTCCCAACAGTCTCCTAAAGCCTTAACTCATTCCAATATTAACCCAAAAGTCCAATTCCAAAGTGTCATCTGAGACAAGACAAGCCCTTTTACCTATGAGCCTGTAAAATCAAAAGCAAGTTAGTTCCAAGACACAGTGTGTGCACAGGCATTGGGTAAAAAGTCCCATTTTCAAATGGGAGAAATTGGCCAAAACAAAGGCCAAGTCTGAAACCTGGTGGGGCAGTTATTAAATCTTAAAGCTATGAAATAATCTCCTTTGACTCCATGTCTCACATCCAGAACACACTGATGCAAGGGGAGGAGCAGGCTCCCAAGGCCTTTTGCAGCTGCATCTCTGTGACTCTGCAGGGTACAGCCCCTCTGTCTGCTCTCATGGGCTAGTGTTGAGTGCCTATGGTTTTTCCAGGAACATGGTACAAGCTGTCGGTGGCTCTACTTTTCTTGGCTCTAGAGGATGGTGGCCCTCTTCTCACAGTTCCACTAGGCAGTGCCCCAGTGGAGACTCTGTGTGGGGTCTCCAATCTCACATTTCCCTCTGCACTGCCCTAACAGAGGTTCTGCATGAGGGCTCCACCTCTGCAGCAGATTTCTTCCTTGACACCCAGGTATTTCCCTACATCCTCTGAAATTTAGGCAGAGGTTTCCAAAACCTCAACTCTTGCCTTGTGCACACCCACATGCCCAACAACATGTGGAAGCCACCAAAGCTTGAGGCTTTCAGCCTCTAAAGCAATGGCCCAAGCTGTACTTTGGCCCCTTTTAGCCACAGCTGGAGCAGCGGGGACACAGGGCCCTAAGTCATGAGGCTGAACATAGCAGTGGGGCCCTGGTTTCAGCCCACAAAACCATTTTTACCTCCTAGGCCTCTGGGACTATGATAGGAGGGGCTGTTGGAAAGATCTCTGAAATGCCACGAAGATATTTTCTCTATTGTCTTGGCTATTAACATTTGGTTCCTTGTTACTTATGCAAATTTCTGCAGCTGGCTTAACTTTTTCCACAGAAAATGAGTTTTTCTTTACTACCACATGGTCAGGCTCAAATTTACCCAACGTTTATGCTCTGCTTCCCTTTTAAACATAAGTTCTAATTTCAAACTATCTCTTTGAGAACACATATAACTGAACACATTCGGAATAAACCAAGTTACCTCTTGACTGCTTTGTTGCTTAGAAATTTCTTCCACTAGATACTCTAAATCATGTCTCTCAAGTTCAAGATTCCACAGATCTCTAGGGCAGGGGCAAAAAATGCCACCATTCTCTTTGCTAAAGCACAACAAAAGTGACCTTTATTCTACTTCACAATAAGTTCCTCATCTTCATCTGAGACAACTTCAGCCTGGACTTCGCTGTCCACATCACTATCAGCATTTTGATCATAACCACTCAGCCAGTCTCTAGGGAGTTCCAAACTTTCCCTCATCTTGCTGTCTTCTTCTGAGCCCTCTAAACTCTTCCAAACTCTGTCTGTTACCTAGTCCCAAAGCTGCGTCCACATTTATAGATGTCTTTATAGCATTGCCCCAATCCATGGTACCAATTTTATGTATTAGCTCATTCTTGCATTACTAAAAAATACCAGCGACTGGGTAGTTTATAAAGAAAACAGCATTAATTGGCTCATGGTTCTGCAGGGCGGGCAGGCCCCAGGAAACTTAACAATCATGTCAGAAGGCAAAGGAGAAGCAAACACCTTCCTCACAAGGTAGCAGGGGAAAGAGAGTGAGGGAGCCAAACACTTTTAAACCGTCAGATTTCATGAGAAATCCCTCATTTTCATGAGAACAGCATGGGGAAAATTGCCCTCATGAATCAATCACCTCCTACAAGGTCTTTCCCTCAATATGTGAAGACTACAATTTGAAATGAGATTTGGGTGGGGAAACAGGGCAAAAGCATGTTATTCCTACTCCTTCTTTGCCTGTGGCATGATTGGAAGCTCCTAAGGCCTCCCCAGAAGCAGAAGCTGCTACGCTTCCTGTACAGCCTGAAAAGTGTGAGCCAATTAAACCACTTTTCTTTATACATTATGCAGTCTCTGTATTTCTTTATAATAATGCAAGAACAGGCTAATACACCACCCTTTTACCTTTTAATATCAAGGCCCCCAGGCCCTCTTGGAAAAAGCATGCACCACAATTTTTCCTGTGGATCCATGTTTTTTCCCAGGTGTGTCCTCAACCTTGGCAAATAAGTCTTCTAAAATAATGAGACTCACCATGGTCACTTATTTTGATTAAAAGAACAAATGTTTTTCACCTTAGTATCCTTCAGTTTATCTATTTTTTCCTTAAAGATAGTGGTTTTGCTATTCTTTTGAAGTATTTTCCTACTTAAATTGATAAAATATTTTACTATGTTTTCTTTTTAAAAAATATTGCTTTACTTTTGCCTTTTTTTACATGTAGACTTTGAGTACATCTGAAATTGAATTTTATATTATATGAAGTTAAAAAATAATAATTGTTCTTACTTCAATGGCAATTTGACACATCATTATTTATAAAAAAGAGTATCCTTTTCATTACTGCACTGCAGTGTCATCTGTTATCTGTGCTAAGAAGCAGTTGATAAACATTTTATTATCTTACAGAATTCTCTGTACTGTTCTGTTTTCTAATATACATGAGTTCCTGTCAATCTCATACCACCTTAATTATAATTGCTTTACAAAAGATCTACCTTTGTAGCAGTATAAATCTTCCAGATTTTTAAAATTTTCTTTTTATTTAGTGCTCCTCCTTCTCCTTCTTTAAAATTGAATTGGCAATTCTTGGTTCTTGGCATTAATGTATACTTTTCATAAGGAGCTTGTCAAAAAAATTATACTACAATTTTCATTGAGATGTCATTGAACACTTTACATCCTTGTTAAATACTTTTCACAATATTGTATTATTCTTAGTTTACAAGTATTGCACATAAGAGTTTATTACTGTGTTGCAGTGACCTGTTGCTCTTTCAATAGAGGACCCATTGTTCCAGATGCTTAAGGGCTTTTAGCCCTTTTCAGAATTGCCTTACTTTCAGAATGCTGCCTTGTTTAAAAATCACACATCTTTCCTCCTTGTAGCTGGCATACAATGGCTGCTTGCTGTAGGGTGTAAAGACCTGGTCTTCTTTATTCTGTTTGTGTTTCCTCTGAATGAACATGTTAGCTTGAGAGCTCCCTATGGGATATTTATGGCCAAAATTGGGCCTTCATTACGTTTCAGCTTTGCTTTCTTGCCTTTCTTCCACAATCATTGATCTTGAGGATAGTCCCTAACAAACATGCATGCTAGAATATCCATCTCAAAGATTTCTTCATGAAGAACTTCTCTTCTGCATAAATACAAAAGTAGTTAAAGGCAGTCGATAATAAAATGAAGTTTTACTGCTGAATCCCCCTCTACATGGCTGACAATGAAAACATAATTACTAGTGTTAGCTGGAGAATAGAATTATGCTGGCAAATACTGGTGGTCCATTTGCTACAACAGTAACCACTGGTGATTTGCAGTGCTTTAATAGTTAACAGGAATGGATTACAGATTATAACATATGGGTAATTACAGAAATATGGCAAAATTATAATTGTAATAGAATTGTGTGGCTCTTACTAACATCCAGACATTCCAGATAAAGGTAACAAAAAGCTAAGGGGTATCAACTTGCAAAAGAAAGTTAAGTGTGAACACCATAGTGCTTCCTGGGTCATACCCAAACTGGCCTTCAACTCCTGCAGCATGATTATAGAGAATTCTGAGTACTAGGATAAGAAGTCAATATTCATATCTGGGCTCCAAAGACGGTTACATTCTCAACAAAACTACATCTACTATTCTAAGGTCAACATTATGTTTGGGTTGATGTTCTTTAAAATCCTGAATCTGAAGATTTTTTTTCCAAAAGCTCTCAGTCTATAGAAATGACTCAATCCTTTCTGTTATAAATATACACTCCTACTTTTCTTAACAATGAGAAACCCTTCCTCTGCATGGTCAACCCATATTTGCTGGTGATAGAGGCACAGATAGAGGCACTAAAATGTTCAGTATCAATTTTTCTCTCTAGTACAAGCCTGATCCTAGGAGAGGCATTTCCATAATTATTACTACTGAAAATAAAGGGCATAAAAGACTTCCCTCAAGAAGAAATCATGGCAATAGTTAACTGTCAGAAGATAGGTAGATACAATTATCAAAAGGTCATAGAGAGCAAATGGTGGGAGTTTGGGGACCTTGACCCACAGAGAGTCATGGAGATACTTAACAGAACATAGTATCCCTGGAGGTTGCATAGGAGGGCACACAGCAAGGGTACTGCTCAAGTTGTGTCATCTAAAAAATAAATAAATAAATAAATAAAAAAGCAAAGATGAATTAACAGGATGCTGAGGGTAGTCACCCAGTTTTTGGATCTCAGCCCAGACTCATTAAGTGAATAAGAGAGCCAGCTAAGTCAAGTGTACATGAAAATCATTTACATAGCCATTCTCCAAAGAAACTGTTATTTACTTGGTGACTGCACATTGGGGAAAGAAGAAAAACCTGATATTAGAGG
Source organism: Homo sapiens (assembly GCF_000001405.40). Classification (NCBI taxonomy): domain Eukaryota; kingdom Metazoa; phylum Chordata; class Mammalia; order Primates; family Hominidae; genus Homo; species Homo sapiens. The sequence goes on along the minus strand of NC_000013.11, from coordinate 82,878,637 downwards.
AGGAATTAATTCCTAGAATCCAAAGTCATTATGAAATACAAGTGTATGTGTTCTATTTTAAAAGCACTTTAAGTATACAGTTCTTTTAGGAGTTCAGATGGAGAGATAAGAACTGGAGTGAAATTTGCTGGTTGTTATGAATTTGCTAACTTAACCAGTGTCACTGCTAGGTTGTCAAAAGTTCTGTTTTAATTATAAGACTTGGAGATTACTAATGTACAACTAACTACCTGTTTGTTTATACATTATAAATAAAAGCCAAAACTCATACCGTATTGCTTGTTTAATTGTCATGGCTGACCTAATTGCAAAATGTTATCTAATATTCTTCCAAAATATTGTTTCCCTAAGAAGGATGAAGATTTGGGGATAATAGTAATTAGAATCATGACTTTAATACATTAATATCAGTGTAACTAATGTTTTAGGAGATTAGTCACTATTTGGAAAGAAACAAAATTGAAGCAGATCCAGTTTTATATATAGGAACTGGAGTTAAAGAAAGACACTGTAGATTATAATTAAAGTATTACCAGTAGGTGAGCCTTCTATATGACATTTTCTGCATGTTCAAATAGATAAATTCAACTTCCCAGGAGTAATAAATTTGTTTGACCAGATATAGCATCAATAAAAAATCAACTGACCACCAATTCATTTTTTTCTATATCCATCTTGAGAAAGAAATCAGAAATTATGATCTATTTTAACTGGGACATAGGCTATGAACTCCTGAGGCAGAAATTTGTGCCACTATTTTTTTTTCTCAATAGCACTAAATAAATTAGAATATTTTTCTCATGAAAAACCTTCAAATTAAGAAGGATCAATTAAGTCGATTCCTTTGAGAGTGAGAAGAAACTGTTTTCTAGCATTTTTAATTATTTCAGCTAATCAATTGTGTGTCCAAAACATTGCTTTAACTCTATTAAGACAGTAGAAATTGGGAAAAAAACAAAAAACTATGTATTCCCTGAAACAGAATTGGGGTAAAATATATTCTTATTTCTTGTTCCTTACTAAATAAATTTATCATATATCAATGTCCTTTGTTGTGCTTAAAAAACTCCAGACCCACAAGGATCTTTTGAATTTCAGAGTAGAATCATGATTAATATATTTATTTTTATCTGATTTTAGTCTTTAGAAATCTATGGAAATCTCTCCTGTCGATATGGGGGAGATGGTAAAATATAATTTATCCTCATGATAAATATAGCATAATGTATTCCAGTGAAACCCATTATGTGAGCTTGAGATAAACTTAGTTGGCAGGCACAAACCTCAAACATAGGACCAATCTAAAATTTAACATTAGAAGTTAATTAGCCTAGAAAATTAAGTAGAAAACACAATGTGTATGCATACAAATGGCATAACTATGTTAACTTTTAGAATATAATTTATCTGAAGTAAATGTAAGCGTAGTCTCAGAATGGATATCAGCTAGCATTAACAAATCTCGACAGCTGGAATACAGATATTATTTTAAATAGTTATGATCATGGATGTAAATGTCCTCCAAAACACTAAAATTTAGAGGATATATTCTAGCTCTAGGGTTACCAGTAAAGTTTTTAACTTTCTTTTGTATTCATCACTTTTTTATACTTTAAAAACATTTTAAGCGGCCGGGCGCGGTGGCTCATGCCTGTAATCCCAGCACTTTGGAAGGCCGAGGCGGGTGGATCACGAGGTCAGGAGATTGAGAACAACCTGGCTAACATGGTAAAACCCCGTCTCTACTAAAAATATAAACAAATTAGCCGGGCGTGGTGGTGGGCGCCTGTAGTCTCAGCTACTCGGGAGGCTGAGTCAGGAGAATGGCGTGAACCCAGGAAGCGGAGCTTGCAGTGAGTGGAGATGGCGCCACTGCACTCGAGCATGGGTGACAGAGCGAGACTCCGTTTCAAAAAAAAAAAAACATTTTAAGCAGTAGGTCCTATAATTGTTCTAAGCCAAAACAAACTTTTAAAGTTAACTGGAGAGAAAAAATTCTTAGAAATCTGTAGTAACATAACTATACTTTTCATACTTTATTAATTATAATGGGTTGACCAAAGACAGAGGGGAAAAAGATAACACTTGCAGTAATTCCATAATATTTTTAAACATAGGATTTTTAAAAAAATTAAATTATTTCCAGTATGGCCTCATCCTTTGTCTGTAACACATCTCAACAAAATTATCCTGAAATGAAGTTTAGATCTTCAATTATGATTTGTTTTTATTAATGTAATTTTTCTGGTTGTGCATGATTATGATAAAGAGAAGAATAGTCATGCTATTCTGGAAAACTGGAGCAGTATATGCACAATTGAACCTCTGTGGCCTCTGCCTATTTGGCAAATTCCAGCTGCCTTTTTGTATAGTTTCATTTTATAATCACAAAACATAGAACATGGCACAGTTCTATTGGCAACTCTTTCATGTATGTGTGCATAGATGTGTATCTATGAATGCAGACACTTTTTCTTTTAAATGTATTCTATTTAGACAATTATTTCTATGAAATAGCACTGGCAAAATTTCTTACCAACTAAATAGTAAATTTTTCTTCTGTATGTTCCCTGTGATGAAAATTAATTTCTCAACTCTAATGATGAGCAGCAATTAAGAAAGTAATCTTGGCTAGATGAACATGTTACAAATGGAATATTTAACTATTGAAGATTTGTTTTACGAGTTAATCCACTACTAGGTGTTACTGTGTCGGAAAAAAAAAAATGCCAGTGTATTTACCTTTATCTCATTGTCAACAAAATCAAATGCAAAATGCTTGAGCTTAGGATTTCTTACAATTCTAATTGCTACCAATAATTGCTTTTTCTGGCTTATGAAGCTACACTACTCCAAATCACAGATAATCTTTAAAAAAGGCAAGCCTATATGCATGGGTGTGAAAATTTTTAAATTACATTCTAGTAAATAATGTTTTCATTCAATATCTAGGTTAATTCTTTATGAAAACTACTTTTTCTATGTGGAATGGAGTCCCATTTCAGTGAGTAAAATGTCATAGTTTCTGTTTCATTCATTATCCAGTTAGTAACTGAGAAAATGCTACTATATTCACTATTAAATGTGATAAGTGAATCCGTATATATATATATATATATATATACACATACATATATAAACATAAAATATAAATCCATATATATATATAAACATATGAATTTATATATATATATACTCATTCTGGTTAAGCACCTATTTTCTAGAAAAGTATAACTAAAAAATAACCATCTCCAAGAAACATAGTGATCATGTTCTCCAAGGTAAATACAAAAGAAAAACTATTAAAAGCAGCTGGAAAAAAGGGGCAGACCACCTACAAGGGGAACCCCATCAGGGTAACAGCAGACCTTTTGTCAGAAACCCTACAAGCCAGAAGAAATTGGCTGCGTATATGCAGCATTCTTAAATAAAAGAAATTTCAGTCAAGAATCTTATATCCAGCCAAATTAAGCTTCATAAGCAAAGGAGAAATAAGATCATTTTTAGAGAAGCAAATTCTAACGGAATTTGTTACCACCAGATCTACTTTACAAGGTGTCCTTAAAGGAATGTTAAACATGGAAACAAAATACTACTAGCAGCCACCACAAAACACAATTAATTACATAGACCATTGGAAATATAAGCAACTACACAATCAAGTCTGTATATAAACCATTTATCAGTATGATGATAGGATCAAATTCACACATATCAATACTAACCTTGAATGTAAATAGAGTAAAAACTACACTTAGAAGGCACAGAGTAGAAAGTTGTATAAAGAAGAAAGATGCAACTATATGCTATTTCGTCTTCAAGAGATCTACTGTACATGTAATGACATAGGTTTAAAACGAACAAATGGATAAAAATTTACTGAGCAAATGGAAACTAAACAGAGCCAAGGTTGCCATTCTAGTTTCAGACAAAATAGTCTTTAAACCAACAAAGATCAAAAAAGACAAAGAAGGCAATTATATAATGATAAATGATTCAATTCAACAAGAAGACTTTACTATCATAAGTAAACATGCACCCAACACTGGAGAACCCAGATTTATAAAACATGTTTTTAGGGACCTATAAGGAGATTTAGATAACCACACAATAATGCTGGGAGAATTTAACATACCACTGACAGTATCAGACAGATGATTGAGGAAAGAAAACTAACAAAGATATTAGGGATCTCAACTTGACACTTGAGCAAATGGACCTAGCAGATGCACAGAAAATGCCACCCAATAACAAGAGAATATACATTTTTGCCATCTGCACGTGGCACATACCTTAAAATAGACCACATGCTCAGCTATAAAAACAATTAACAAACTCAAAACAGCCAAAATCATACCAACCAGTCTTGGATAACAGCACAAAAAAATAGAAACCAATACTAGGAAGATCTCTGAAAACCATACAGTTAAATAGAAATTAAACAACTACTACTGAATGACTTTTGGGTAAGCAATGAAGTTAAGGCAAATTCAAGAAATTATTTGAAACTAATGAAAACAACAAAGACACAACATACCAGAATCTCTTGTACACAGCTAAAGCAGTGTTAAGAGCAAAGTTTATAGCAGTAAACTCCCTCATGAAAAAATAGGAAAGATCTCCAATTAATAATGAAATATTACACCTAGAGGAACTAGAAAAACAAAAGCAAAGCAAATCCAAAGCTAGCAGAAGAAAATAAATGACAGGAATCAGAGCTGAACTGAATAAAATTGAGGTGCAAAAAAAAAAAACACATAGAAAAAGAGTAATGAAACAAAAAGTTAGGTTTTTGAAAGAAGAAAAGAGATTAATAGAACACTAGCTAGACTAACACAGGAAAATGGCCAAATTCAAATAAAAAATATTAGAAATGACAAAGGGAACATTACTACTGACTCCACAGGAAAAAAATAAAAACTCTCAGAAACCATTACAAACACTGCTATGCACAAAAACTAGAAAACCTAGAAGAACTGGATAAATTCCTAGAAACACCCAGCCTCCCAAGATTGAACAATAAAGAAATGGAAACCTTGACCAAACCAATAATAAGTTCCAAAATTGAATCAGTAATAATAATAAAAAAAGAAGCCCTGCACCAGACAGATTCAGAGCCAAATTTTGAATTTTAAAAGACATATAACAAAGTCTGGTACCAATCCTGCTGAAACTATTCCAAAAATTGAAAATAGGGAACTACTCCATAACTGATGCTATAAGGTTGATAGCAAAATCTGACAGAGACACGACAACAACAAAAAACTTCAGGCCAATATTCCGGATGAACATAGAAAAAAATTTCTCAACAAAATAGTAGCAAACAATCCATCAGCCTATCAAAAAAGTTAATTTGACATGATCAAGTAGGTTTTATTCCTAGGATGCATTATTGGTTCAACATGTGCAAATCAATAAATGTGATTCATCACATAAATAGAATTAATAAACAAAAAGACATGATTATTTCGATAGATACAGATAAGACTTTTGGCAAAATTCAACATCTCCTCATATTAAAAACCTTAAACCCACTAGGCATCAAAGAAACATACCTCAAAATAATAAGAACCATCCATGACAAACTCATAGCCAACATCATACTGAATGGGCAAAAGGTAGAAACATTCCTCTTGAGAACTGAAACAAGACAAGGATGCCTACTCTCAACACTCCGATTCAGCCTAACATTGGAAGTCCTAGTCAGAGCAATCAGGCAACAGAAATAGATAAAGGCACCCAAATAGGAAAAGAGGAAGTCAAACTATCTCTCTTCACAGATGATATAATTTTATTCCTAGAATACTCCATAGTCTCTGCTCAAAGGCTCCTTCAGCAAAGTGTCAGCATACAAAATTATTGTAAAAAAACTAGTAGCATTTCTACACATCAACAATATCTCGGCTGGGTGCAGTGGCTCACACCTGTAATCCCAACACTTTGGGAGGCTAAGGAGGGAGGATCCCTTGAGGCCAGAAACTCAAGACTAGTCTAGGCAATATTGAGACCGTCACCTCTATTTTTTTTTAATTAGCCAAACATAGTGGCATGCACCTGTAGTTCCTAGCTGCTTCTGGGGCTGAGGTGGGTTGATTGCTTGAGCCTGGGAAATTGAGGCTGCCAGTGAGGCAAGATTGGGCCACTTCACTACCACCTACTCAACAAAGCAAGACCCTCTTAGAAAAAAAAGTCCAACCTGGCAGCCCAATCAAGAATGTAATCCCATTCACAATTCACACACACACACACACACATACACACAAATACTTAGGAATATAGCTAATTAGGGAGGGGAAGATATCTACAATAAGAATTATAAAACACCAATGAAAGCAATCATAAATAATACAAACAAATGGAAAAACATTCCAAGCTCATTAATAAAAAGAATCAATATTGTTAAAATGACCGTACTACCCAAAGCAACATACATGTCCAATGCTATTCCCATCAAACCACAAATGGCATTTTTCACAGAATTAGAAAAACCTATTCTAAATTTTATATGAAACCAAAACATGCCTTAGCAGCCAAAGTGATCCAAAAAAAAAAAAAAAGCTGGAGGCATCTTATTACCTGACTTCAAACTATACTACAAGGCTGCAATAACCAAGACAACATGGTACTGGCACAGAAACAGGCATATAGACCAATTGAGAAGAATAGAGCCAATTGAGAAGAATAGAGAGCCCAGAAATAGAGCGACACACCTACAATCATTTCTCTATTCAATACATGACTCTGGGCTAACTAGCCACATGTGGAAGATTGAAACTGGACCCCTTCCTTACATTACATAAAAAAGTCAACTCATGATGGATTAAAGACTTAAACATAAAAACCTAAAACTATAAAAGCCCTAGAAGAAAACATTGGAAATACCATTCTAGACACAGGCTCTGGCAAAGATTTTGTGACAAAGATGCCAAAAGCAATTGCAGTAAAAATAAAAATTCACAAATGGGACATAATTAAAGAGCTTTGCACAATAAAATAAGCTATCAACAAAGTAAACAGACAATTTACAAAATGGGAGAAAGTATTTACAAACTACTCATCCAACAAAAGTCTGATATCCAGAATCTATAAAGAACTAAAACAATGAACAAGCAAAAAACAAACAGCCCCGTTAAAAAGTGGGCAAAGGACATGAACAGACACTTTTAAAAGAAGACATATGCGTCTAATAAGCATATGAAAAAAAACTCAGCATCACTAATCATTAGAGAAAAGCAAATGAAAACCACAGTGAGATGCCATCTCACACCAGTTAGAATGGCCATATTAAAAAGTCAGGCATAATAGATGCCGGCAGGGATGTGGAGAAAAGGGAATTCCTATACACTGCTGGTGGGAGTGTAAATTAGTTCAGCCACTGTAAAAAACAGTTTGGAGATTTCTCAAAGAATGTAAAACAGAAGTACTATTCAACCCAGCAATGCTATTATTGGGTAGATTCCTCCCAAAATATAAATTTTTCTACCATGCAGACACATGTATGCATATGTTCATTATAGCACTATTCATGGTAACAAAGACATGGAAATGCCCATCAATGGTAGACTGGTTAAAGAAAATGTTGTGTGATTGTGTGTGCATGTGTGTATACACACACACTGTGGAATACTATGCAACTGTAAAAAATGAGATAATGTCCTTTGCAGTAACATGGATAGAACTTGAGGCCATTATCCTTAGTGAGTTAACACAGGAACAGATAACCAAATGCCACATATTCTCACTTATAAGTGGGAGCAGAATATTGAATACACATGGACAGAGGAGGGAGCAATAGACACCTGGGCCTACTTGAGGGTGGAGTATGGGAGGAGGGTGAGGACTGAAAAACTACCCATCAGGTACTATGCTTATTATCTGGGTGACAAAATGATTTCTACACCAAACACCTATCACATGCAATGTACTCATGTAAGAAACCTGCACAAGTTATTTCCTGAACTTAAAAGATAGAAGGAAAAAATGAAAAAAAAGTGAAAATGAATATTCTATTAATGATTATTATTTTTTCACTTTTGACATTTTTGTCTATATCATTTCTGGTATTTTATGTTCATAATTTTTTCACCTCAATAATTTTGCTCATACTGTTAATTATACCCAAAATTTCTCTTGACTTTTAAAGTACTCTATGTAACTACTTTAAAGTTAGTACAGAATGCTAACCAATTTTAATATTTTTAATGAACACTTTGTAATTATATATATTTATAGGGTGCAATTTGATATATTGACATATGTACATGTTGTATAAGGATCAAATCAAGGTAGTGAATTCATCCATAACTTCACGCATTAGTATTTGTATGTCCATAAGACACAAGATATAATTGGAAATAAGTAGCAAATACATATTTAAATTATCTCCAACATTTGAAAATAATAAAAAGTGACTTAAAGTTATTCATCAGTAAAATAAGTTAACACAATGAATATAATAAAATGCTTAAAATTACATTAATGGTAACAAACATACTATCAAAACTTAGATGGAAAATCAATAGTACATAAATATTGTTTAGCTTTAAATGCTTTCCCATGTACATAAGAAAGATTGAACAGTGAAGGCCTAGAAATTCAATCAAGCTGCTAATAAAACTACAGAGTATATCTAAAACAAATATAACAATAAATAATAAACATCAAATAAGAAGTTTATAAAGTGGAAAGCACAGAAAAAGTGAATTCATTGAGAGGGAAAGGACAACAACAACAGAAAACTGACAAAATAATCCTCACCAATATATTTAAAAACAGAAAAAATTAACAATGTTTTAGAAAATCATTAAAGACAGGCATTTAAATAAAATGTAGAAAAATGATTTCACCTACAGCATTAAAAAATGTGAGCATTTGTCAAAACCAGTTATATACAAACATACATACTCTCTTTTGAATTAAGCTAGCTACTTTAACTTAGGAAAGAAGAAAAAATTCCAGTACCATATTAACTTCTCTAAGAAAGATGAAAACAAATATGCTGAGTTTTTTAATGAAAAAAAAAATCTAGTATATGTTAGTCCAACATATACATATAGATGCGGAAATCTTAAATAAAATATGAGTAATGTTAAAATATTTCTGACACTTGCTGAAATGCTAAAGGCTTTATTTAAAAATATTGCAATATGTGCCATGACTATAGGGGAGGGAGATTAGACTCAACTCTAAATACAATTGGAGAAAGTGGGGATTAATAGCCAAGGAGCAGATTGGGGTTGGTTGTTGGATGGAAAATTACTAAGAAGAGACATCAAGGATAGGAGAAATTATTGCTAGACTGACCAAATGGGATTCTTGCTGAGGGCAGGCCAGAGTGACTTCATATTAAGAGTGGACGGATTCTCCCTAAAGTGATTTAGCAGGCTTATTGCTAAAGGTGAATTCTGCAAGGATGAAAAAGAAATGCAAGGTTGAGGACTACTTGAGAAGAGAGCTTATAGGAGCCTTACTAAAATTTGATTAAGGAGAAAGTTATGTTTAATAGTCTTTGTCTGGAAGGATGAATAGTCTCGGAGAAAAAATTTGAATACAATCAACCCCTATTTTTAGCAAATTTGAAAGAAAGGTAAGTGTGTTAATGCTATTAATGTTATCAAAATATCACAGAAAGTGAAATGGTAAAACTTCAGATATCTTTAATTTAAAGCTAATATTGTGTCAAAAACCTTTGCTAACACTATTCCCACTGGATAGTCTACTGGCACACTGACCAGTTGGATTAGTGGAGACAGAGCAAATAAAAGGTAGAAGACTTGAAATAAAAATAAATAATCTTCTATATTTCACAAAGTAGATCTTTGCCTGCATAAATAAAAATTCTAATTTATCTTACCTAATAAGGTTGTTTTGCACCTTCCCAAATATTACATGAATTCACCACAAGCATGAAAGTAATGTTATTTGCCTTCTTAACATTACGGTTGAAGATAACTCACATCAGCTGCATATCAACTGAGACTTTTCAGAAATAATCATTTGCTTAAATATTATGATAGAATTAACTATAAAAAGAGAACAATTGTATCTGTAGCAGCTCTTTTTTATTATATGTACATTAAAATAATGGAAAATAGAAATGTTCATAACACATACTCTCCTGTAAGATTTGGGAAATAATTTGGTTTTCTAAAATGTCTATCAATGAATATATAAATAATCTGGAAAATTGTTCCCACATGAATTTCAGTGAATATGCATGTTTATTAATATTAAACTATACCAGTTCACTATTGCTTTCACCTTTAACATAGCCATTAAAAATGATCTGAACCACCATTTCTTTGCTATGCATTCAAAGCACAAGTCCCCAAATTTACATAAATTGAGCTATTTGCCTAATGTGCCCTAAGTGTGATGTAAGTAATTAACAGGTTAAGATCAAACATCATGTTATGTGCTTGACAGCAAATCTCTGCTGGAAAGAATAAAATTTAGGAGCTTAAACACGTGTGGAATTGAAAAGATAAGTGTTTCCCTGCAGATACATCTTTCATGATGAACAAAATTTTTTGAATAAGCAGCCAGAAATACACAGCTGTAGCTTTAAACGAGTAGTCCCAAGCTGTCTTCATTTGGATACACCAAAATTATGCCAGGCCAAATAAATTATTACTCTAAAATGATAAACATAGACAGGATATACACTTTCTACTTGTTTTGGGTACATACAGGAATGCCCATCCACATACAAATGCATAATTAAGTAAATATGTATCTATACACATTTGCGTGTGTCTCTGTGTGTGTGTATAAGCAAAGCTTATGTTGAAGAGCTTAGTATGCATTGACTACATCTTTATTTACTTCCCCTTCCCAATGTTTCAAGTTTTCAGACAGAAATGGTGGCTACATCCTTAAAGACTCAACAATCTTTCACCTATTGCGGTGAGAACTTTCCCAATGCCATTCTGTGCTTACAACACGTAAACTTGTTATCTGACTAACCCCTTCTAGTACATATATACCCTGGTTTGAAAAAAAATAAGATGAGCACAATAAATGTTTAAAAAAGAAATAATAAAAAATAGTTCAAGTCTAGCTTAAGAAAAGAAATATACCACAGTGTATGACTGGCAGATCAAAGGCATGAAAAGAACAGAGAATAGCCACAGGCAATGCTTTGATTACATAATCGTTTCTTCTGGACTGTTTAACTTCCCTGTAGAGAATAAACCAAGTTCCTATGAGACCCATTTTCATAAGAGACTTGAGCACCAGAGTCAATTTTGCCTAGCATTAGAAGATGCGAGGTATTAATGTAGCTACACTAATAGATATTTACAGCCATGCATTAAAAATACATGTGTGCACCCATAATGATCTGGCACCCAGCTAGGAGCTAAGTAACATACAAGAGCAAAAAAAAAAAAAAAAAAAAAAGAAAGTCAAAATGAGTTTCAGAAACTAAGAAAAAAAAGACATTGTGAAAGGATAAAGTCCCTGAAAACATTTGAGAACCAGAGAGGCCAGCGTGATTAGAGGCTGCTCAGTTGAGTTCAACTGGCATGACGACTTCAGCATGGATATGTTTAAATGACATCAAGCCTTTCTTTTTGTGAGAAGGAAGAAGTTGTCAGCTATAAACAGAATGAGCATCATATGAAGACCATAAGAAAAGTAAGAATTATAGCTTATATGTGATAATATATTGTAAACAGAAATATTGAGAATGAGTGTTTTACACAATTTGATTGTTTTCTCAACTATTTTATGTTTTTCAATTCAATAGAAAATACACCAAGTAAATATCAATTCATTGTATGAAAGATTTTATTTGTAAAAACACTGAGAATTATATGAAAAGGTGTGCAACTGTAATTACAGCAAACTGTAATTAGGAGAGTGGAAAAGGGAATAAATATTTTCTTTTACACAGTCTATTTTTGTTTTGTTAAGCAAATAGTAATTTTAGATTAGCAATAATTTTAATACATCTATGTGTTTCAATGCACAATTATATGTATCAAAAATATAATTTTAAATATATGCACCTAGTCTTGAGATAAATAGAAGAAAATGAAGCAGAAAACAGAACTGAGATTTAAATGTACCATTTAACTTATTTAAATTTCTACATTTAATTGAAGCCAAAGTTTTAGAAAAATAGTTTTAAAGAATAATAAATATTTGTTGACTATTGTAAGCTAATATATTACAGAAATCCCTATTCCCAAGGTTTTTGGAAAATACATTATTATTGATTTTATCTGGAACTTTAGTTCGCTGTCTAAGAGGTGTTGATTGAGTGTTAATTCTCCATAACAAATTCCTGTGTATATGTCAGTTTACTGCACTACAATATTGTCTGACACTCTGTGAGTCTACTGTCTATAATAAAATTGAATCTTCTCTTCAGAACCAGGACATTCTCTCATTTTTTCTCACTGAGACTTCCCAAACAATATCTGTCTTTCTGCTTTCCTTCTCTACTTAACCTTCTTTAAGCCGTTTTCTACAATGTAAAACGTGATTATTCTTTAAATACTCAGTTGATCAAAATGCTCCCCTGCACAAAACTCAAATGGCTTATCATTAGTTACAGTGTAAATTCTTTTTTTTTTTTTTTTTTTTTTTTTTTGAGACGGAGTCTCGCTCTGTCGCCCAGGCTGGAGTGCAGTGGCGCGATCTCGGCTCACTGCAAGCTCCGCCTCCCGGGTTCACGCCATTCTCCTGCCTCAGCCTCCCGAGTAGCTGGGACTACAGGCGCCCGCTGTTACAGTGTAAATTCTATTCTCCTATGAGCAGACTGTAAATTCAAGTGGGAAAATGTCTTGTTATCTCTCATTATTTCATTTTAACTCGTGGAAAAATATAAATACATACATACACAAATATACTTACATACATACATACCTATGCATGTGCATAGGTATGTATATATCCTTATTTTCATTTCTGCATTGCAGACACATGAATTACTTAAAAAGAACCCCTCCCATCTCCTATGAACTTTTTTTTTTTTTTTTTTTTGAGACAGGGTCTTGCTCTTTCACCCAGGCTGGAGTGCAATGGCAAGATCTTGGCTCACTGCAACTTCCACCTCCCGGGTTCAAGCGATTCTCCTGCCTCAGCCTCCAGAGTAGCTGGGACTACAGGTGTATGCCACCATGCCCAGCTAATTTTTGTATTTTCAATAGAGATGGGGTTTCACCATGTTGGCCAGGCTGGTCTCGAACTCCTGACCTTGTGATTCGCCCCCCTCAGCCTCCCAAAGTGCTGGGATTACAGGCGTGAGCCACCGCGCCTGGCTGAACTTTTTTATACCTTTGTTCATTCCACAGGTTCTTTTGGACGTTTCTTATATTTTTATCCCTCTAATTTGACAGATACGTTGTTTAAATATTACTTCTATATAAAATTCATGTCTTGTGTCCCTTTAGATAACTGTAGAAGGATACGTATAAGATGCTACTATAATTATTAATTTTATTATTTTTAATTTCAACGTACTATGAAATTCTAATGGGAAAGAGTCTTATTTGGAATATTGATATTAAGCAAGCTTTATAAAGTTTAGGATGTTGAAATCAGTGCAAATAAAAGACAAATTATAAATAGATCTCAAGTTTTCAATGCTAATCAAAGAAATAAATGTTTAAAAAACTTGATCAAGAAACATTATGCAATCTTATTAAAATCAATGTACAAATGAAGCCTCTCAAAAATTATTTTTATAATAAATATGTATATAAGGCTCATTATTTTTATTGTAACCATAAGTTCCTACGTTTGCCTAAACATTGAATAAATAAATACAAAAGTTTAATACAAACCAAATAGATCATACCTGAGATTTTTCAAATTGCTTTCAAAATTAAACAAAGTTGCTTCTCAAGAGGTTGGACTGCTCTTCATTTTGCCTTTTTATTGAAAAATGCATTATGATGTTTTTTGTAAAACATGAAATTGCATGTGATTGATTTATTATGTTTTCTATTCAGCTAAATTGAGGCTAAATAGTTAGCAGTAGTCTTTCTTGATGGTACCGTGCAAATAATATTATCCTACATTTCTTACAGTAAATGAATAATTTGTAGTAAATTGGATTATTCACAAATTTGTATGTAAGGGAGTTGGGTTATAATATGGAATGAATTATCATTGTGCTTTGAGGAAGTCTGAGTAAATTATAGGGACTTTTAGTTATATTGTAAGATACAAAAACAGGTTTAAATACATTAAATTTAAGAGCAGTGCATAAGATTGCAATAAGAAAAGAAAGTCATATCCATAAGAGGAATATATAAATTACCAAAGGAAAACTACGTCATTTGATATAGTATAATACCAAATACTTTATTTTAAATAGTGAACTCTAAATAAAATAAGTAGATGCAATTTAATGATTGCCTTGAAGGTAGACTTCATTATTGATGGTGTGTCAAATTGGTAACACATTCACCAAGTGACTAACAACAGTAACCAACCAAGAATGATTGCCGTCATCTCAGTGACCTGAATCTTCTATTTCGCCTTGTAATAACTGGTTAAGAACTAAAGATCACTTAAGAGTGATCTTTAAGTATTTAAGTATTCTTACTTCACATAATCTACTGAGATTTGAAAATATTTGTGTGGAATTTAGATACTGATATGATTATCTGAAATTGTTTCTCGGTCAAATACACCAGGGAATTGATGCTGTGTTTAAACAGGTGACTTTTTTTTAATCCTCAGCTGTACATTAGAGAGTTGACATTTGAAAGTGAGACAAAGCAAGCAGCTTTACAAGGTAGGGCTTTAGGGAAATGAGGCAGAGTTTTCCAGGAAACAATGATCAGAAAACATTTTGTTTACCTCTAAACCCATTAAGGTTTATATAATACTTTACTTCACAGCTACAGAAATAACATACTGGTCTTCATAAGAAAAGGGGCATTTGGTATTTCTTTGAAGTAAACCAATTGAGACACAATTCTAAGAAGTCATGGTTTGTGAAGCTTTTTAAATGTAGCTATTAACATGTGCAATAATAACGGCATATGTACCATACCTAGTGTATGGGAAGTAGAGGATGATTTACTCGGTCTTTAAAGCTTGAACTTTAATAAGCGTCATTAGAAAGGACGAAAACTTGCTCTACTCAGCATACAAACTTTGCTTTTTCAAAGAATAACCACACTAGCTTAAAGCAGATGAAGTATAAAATCAGACAACACAGCAGAAAACACTATATAAACAGTAACATGTCAAGAGTGGCATTGAATTGGTATGCAGAAACTGGCTAACAAAGTCTCAATAATTGGGAAATTAAAGGCCTACCAATACCAGTCACAGAAGGGAATAGGAGTCAATAACAGAACTTCATTTTAGTCATAAAAATATTATTTTATTAATTATTTAATTTTGCTGTAAGAAAATGTATTTACATAACCAAATTATTGTTTGCAAGTAGAGGAGAGAGAGAGAAAATTACAGCATTTAATACCCCTTTTGTTTTTCTAAGGTCGCAAAGGATTAAAAAAAAATCACGTATTTGGCAAAGAGAGATATTGGAGCCAAGTTAATAAAACATTTGAAATCTAAATTCTTTTGTCCAGAAAAAAATAGGTGAGAGAAGCATAATGCCTTATTGGATGGTTGCAGAACAGTGATTATCTATATCTTATTTTGCGTTTCTTAACATCAGGCATTGCACCACATTTTCTATCAAATGCAAAAACTAATTGGAAGTGGCCGGGCGCAGTGGCTCACGCTTGCAATTCCAGCACTTTGGGAGGCCGAGGCAGACAGATCACCTAAGATCAGGAGTTCGAGACTAGCCTGGCCAACATGGTGAAACCCCCGTCTCTACTAGAAATACAAAAATTTTCCTGGTATGGTGGCAGGTGCCTGTAATTCCAGCTACTAGGGAGGCTGAGTCAGGAGAATCGCTTGAATCCAGGAGGCAGAGGTTGCAGTGAGCCGAGATAACACCATTGCACTCCAACCTGGGCAACAAGAGAAAAGCTCCATCTCAAAAAACAACAACAAAACTAATTGGAAACAGTTTCAGCCTTCAGTGTTTGTATAATTATGTAGAAGATATAAAACAGGTCACAGAAAAATAACATAGAATCTGATCAGTGAATGAGAGATTACAAATATTTTATGACATTCTGTCTTGTGTAAGGCAACCAGAAATATTTTACAGCATGAAAAGACATTCAAATTAAGCTTTGAATTGAGTCTAGGATTTCAAGCATTAGACACGAGGAAGGGGCAAATAACAAAAAAATGGAAATCAGAGTATTACCAATATTTCTGCAAAGGTAGCTTAGAGTCAGGAGAGGCCTTGCATTTCAGACCAACACTTGGCCTGTGTTCAACAAGCAAGTAAGAGCTAGTGACGTTGAGACTGGGTGTGGTGGCTCCCGCCTGTAATCCCAGCACCTTGGGCTTTGGGAGGTGGAGACAGGCAGATCACTTGACGTCAGGAGTTTGAGACCAGCCGTGCCAACATGATGAATCCCCATCTCTACTAAAAATATAAAAATTAGTCGAGTGTGGTGGCACACGTTTGTAATTCCAGCTACTCCGGAGGCTGAGGCAGGAAAATCTCTTGAACTTGGGAAATGGGGGGTGCAGTGAGTCGAGATCACGCCACTGCACTTCAGCCTGAGCAACAGAGCAAGACTAGGTCTCAAATAATAATAATAATAATAATAAATAGGAGGTAGCGACTGATGAGTGAAACTCGTTTCTATGATCAGAACTCAAGTATATTAAACATATGACATCCATAGTCTTAAGAACCCATGACTTGTGGACAAAAGATTGTATAAAATCATTCAAGTGAAATGTGGTAAAGATTTGTAATAAAACAGTGGAAGAGGATATGTAGAAGATGAAACAAATGTAATAAAGAAGAGGGAAGAGTTCGTAGTATTCGATCACTTACTGAATGTGGGCAAAATAAAGGGATTGGAATATAAAGAAGGGATAAAGGTGACTGAAATTTGAGTCCATTGCCTGGGCACTAAGATGGTAAAATAAATTGTGTTCAGAATACACCGTGATGGATTTTATTGCTAGGAAATATTTGTTGTTACTCATGGCTGTATCTCTAGTATATACTAAAATATACCTATAAATACATAATGTATAAAGCAATATCTAGTTACAAAATAGTATAGCATTGAGGGTGTTAATATTGCAATTATGTTGTTTTACTTTATTTAGTAATTTTTATTATTTTGCTTTATTTTACATACAAACTGTCATTTTATATAACAAATAATATTTAACATTTGAAATTGAGATAATAATATTTTCACCTCTCTTCATTCTATTCCTAGAAGTAATATGAAAATTAACTAAGAAATAGTGAAATAACTGCTATGTAACTTTCTACGTAAATGAGTGCAATAACATAGATCCCTAGAGTGCATGTGATAAGCAAAGAAATCTGGGTGCTTTGGTTACAAGATTCTAGTAGATTAATGTCTGGCAAATGGAATGCACACAGTAAAATTTTAGCTGTTTTCTGGCCTACAAGACAATATATGTTTTTGCAGATAATCATATCTGCTCTAATTTATGTAAAATTGTTTTCTGGAATATTTCAATTAACTTTCTATACCATGCTTGTGAATATGTACATAGTTAAAATATCATTTCATTTTACTAATATAGTATGGCATCAGTTAATATCTACCCAATAGTTAAATATGATTAATTATATTTACCTTTAAATAATATGTGGGCTATTTTGAAGCATTCATTTTGTTGATTTACATATCCTGTTAATATTTTGAAATTCATAACTACTACCAAAGTTAATGCAAAATATATGCATTAATTCATATAGATATATATACTCAATACAAAAAAGGGAATTCATTTCCCTAATATTAGATTTCTTTTTGTTTTCTGCCTCTTGAAACAAAACTCTTGACACTTCTAGAGAAACAGACTAACCAATTTTCTAGACTTTTAATCTCAAATACAAATCGATAATGTTTACCTTTTAGTTGGTCAATTGTATAATTAATTATTGCAACAATAAAAGTATTGTGATTCTTCTACAGAAATATATTATTTGACAAATCTGAAAGATATTACCGAATCATAATGTATTTATTGCATACTGTACATGAGGTACAAAGAAGAAACCATGTCAAGGACAGGTGTTATATATTGGATAGTTATCACATGTTAAACTAATGTTAAGGGTAAAATAAAATTGGAGAAGTTGTAATGAAAAAATCAGCATAAAAACATAGCTTTTTCTTTTTTCATGGCAATGAGAAAACGTGGCTCCGAACATGCAGATGATTCCTCATGTAGAAACATGGGATATCTATAAATTATAACTAATGTTTGATAAAATAATAAGCTCAAAGACATAAACATACATAACAGATAATGGAAAGATGGATAATATGGAGACTGATTTTTAGTGAGAGCTTTATTTAGAAGCCATTTTAAATAAAATATGATATGAATTGTTTTGAAAAATATGCAGATTTAAATGAGAAAACCATTCTTGTTGTAATGTAGCCTTGGTGCAGAAATAAAGTGAGACAATTTAAAGAGTTTTAGGAATTGATCTTGTCTAGAACAGCTGTTTCTAAAGCTGTGAGATTATTGGAATCACTTGTGATAATATTTAGAATAATGATTCCCAGGCACTAAATCAAATCTGCTAAATAATAATCCCCAGTGTTGGGTGGAAGAAAATTGAGTGTGGAAGAATTGGTTGTTTAGTATTGTATAGTTACTGAGATTATTTCATTTAACTGAATGAGTAAGTTACAAAATGTTAGTATAAAAAATTACCATATAAAATTTTTATATTATACAAATAATTCTGATTAAAATGTATATAACTTACGGAGAAGTGAATAAGTGAAGGGAATATAATTGACCTATCATTAATAGAAAGTTATTATATTTAGGTTGGTGCAAAAGTAATTGCGGTTTGGGCCATTAAAAGTAGTGGCAAAAATCTCAATTATTTTGCACCAACCTAATAATTGCATGGTTGAACGATAGCAAATGATGATACAGTATATTTAGTCACTGAAATAACTGAAATAAAGAGATGGCAAACATCTTGGCATTAATATCAGCAAAATATGGTACCTAGTTGGTTCAGGAGAAACAGAAAAATTTTTTAAATGATGTCAAAGTAAATTTTTTCTATAATTTTAATTTATTTATTTTAAATTGATAAATAAAAATTATGTATATTTGTGGTGTACAACTTGATGTTTTGTTATATGTAGACAGTGTGGAATTACTAAATCAGGCTAATTCACACCCCCATTACCTCATGTACTTATCATTTTTAAGGTGAGAATAATTAAGCCCTGTTATAAGCAATGTATCAGGTATCTAATACATTGTTATTAAAAATAATTATCATATAAAATAGATCTTAATGTATTTCTTTTACCGAAAATGTTGTCTCCTTTGATCCACCTGTCCCCATTCCTCTCCCCCAACTCCTGATAACCATAATTCAGCCTTAAAGAAGAAGGAATTTCTATCATTTGTGACAGCACAGATGAACCTGGAGGATATTATGTTAAGTAAAATAAGCCAGGCACAGAAAGACAAATACCACATAATCTCACTTATCTGTGAAATCTGAAAAAAGTCAAACTCATAAAAACACAGAATAGAATAGTGGTTACCAAGTGAAATGTTAATTTGATTCTGAAACAAGGGCAATGGATGAAAATTATATTTAAAGTTTGTAGTAATATAGTTGGTAATGATCTGAACACGCTCATTGCTGAATACCTTCCAAAATGCACGTAGAGATTCTATTCAGTCATTGAGGATTATCAGAAGCTCAGGGACTAACTCAGGGTAAGCCTAAGGAGAAATAGTTTGGAGCTGCTGAATTTTAAAATGCAGAAGCTGAAGATATATCTATATATAAGTACCATTTTATTTTTAAAATAGTAGTTTAACAAAGAAAATAAAATCATGTGAAGTTGATATATTTTCTAGTTTACAAATCTATCCACAAGAGATATGTTCTAAGGATGGAAATAGGCAATAAACCATTTAAAAATAAATGAAAAGTTAAAATAAATATAGCAATAAATTGTTAGGTAGAAGATAACCAGAATGGAGAAATAATAACTTTAGTTATCTCAGCTGAAGTATGTGGGTTATGATGTGCTTGGGGAACAACTTTTCAGTCTAAAACAACAACAACAACAACAACAAAATAGGTGGTGCAACTACCTAAAGAAAAGATAGGCTGGGTGTGTCTGAAGAAAATGTGGCTCTGCTATAATGAACAAGGTGAAGAACACTAATATATTCAGAATAAAATAAAGGAAATTACCAGCAGCCAAAACCAGAGGTAGTCAAGAACCTGATAGTTAAGCAGGCCTTAAATGTAATGGGTTTCTGGGAACTTGACATTTATTGAGATGTCTCTAGATCTTCTGATAATAGAATTAGCAGAATTACAGTATAAAGTAATGCTTATTCTCAAACACATGAAATACAGCTGTCGATGCCAAGTAAAGAGTTGATTAGGTTAATTTGGATGTTAGGAAACGTGTGTGTGTATGTGTATGTGTGTGTGTGTGTTTGCTTGGTTTGTGCAGGCACATGTATGTATGTGTATCCAGATGTTAAAGTTCTAGGTTCACATGTTAACTCATTGTTACTAAAATTATATATATATATTATATATATATACATATATATACATATATATATATAAAAAACAGAGGCCCAGAAAATAACTACAAATTACTCCAGAATTCTAGAAACTAGAATGAAAAAGAGGAGACAAAAATAAGGCAAATTAAGAAGCAAGTGAGAAATAGAGAAAAACAGGGGAGTATAATGTCAGGGAAATGGAGACAGAGTGCTTAAAGAGAGGTAATGTAGAAATGCTGGCCAGTGTCAGATGCACATTTGAGGCTCGAGGTCACAGTTCTTTGGAAAAATGAATTAATATTGGGTGATTTTTCTACCACAATATTGAGTTATTTAGGTGAAAATATGAACTTGTTTTGTTTTATTTGATTTTTTTTATTTTTTTCCGGTTAGCTATAACTTTTATGGCTTTTTTCCAAGATGGATAGTGAATGTTAGAATAAAATAGATGAGCATTTATTTTATATTGATCATAGGGCATTGTTATGCCAAACTGTGGAATCTAATTTGAAAAAGAGAAGGTTTGCTCTAGCATAGAAAAAAACTATACTACAAGGCTACAATAACCAAAACAGCATGGTACTGGTACCAAAACAGAGATATAGACCAATGGAACAGAGCAGAGCCCTCGGAAATAATACTACACATTTACAACCATCTGATATTTGACAAACCTGACAAAAACAAGAAATGGGGAAAGGATTCCCTATTTAAAAAATGGTGCTGGGAAAACTGGCTAGCCATGTGTAGAAAGCTGAAACTGGATCCCTTCGTTACACCTTATACAAAAATTAATTCAAGATGGATTAAAGACTTAACTGTTAGACTTAAAACCGTAAAAACCCTAGTAGAAAACCTAGGCAATACCATTCAGAACATAGGCATGGGCAAGGACTTCATGACTAAAACACCAAAAGCAATGGCAACAAAAGCCAAAATTGACAAATGCGATCTAATTAAACTAAAGAGCTTCTGCACAGCAAAAGAAACTACCATCACAGTGAACAGGCAACATACAGAATGGGAGAAAATTTTTACAATCTATCCATCTGACAAAGGGCTAATATCCAGAATCTACAAAGAACTTAAACAAATTTACAAGAAAAAAATCAAACAACTCCATCAAAAAGTGGGAGAAGAATATGAACAGACACTTCTCAAAAGAAGACATTTATGCAGCCAACAGACACATGAAAAAAATGCTCACCATCACTGGCCATCAGAGAAATGTAAATCAAAACCACAGTGAGATACCATCTCACAGCAGTTAGAATGGCGATCATTAAAAAGTCAGGAAACAACAGGTGCTGGAGAGGATGTGGAGAAATAGGAACACTTTTACACTGATGGTGGGAGTGTAAACTAGTTCAACCATTGTGGAAGACAGTGTGGCGATTCCTCAAGGATCTAGAACTAGAAATACCATTTGACCCAGCCATCCCATTACTGGGTATATACCCAAAGGAATATAAATCACAAGAACAAAAAACCAAATACCGCATGTTCTCACTCATAGGTGGGAATTGAACAATGAGAACACTTGGACACAGGGTAGGGAACATCACACACTGGGGCCTATCACGGAGTGTGGGGAGCACGGAGGGATAGCATTAGGAGGTATATCTAATGTAAATGATGAGTTAATGGGTGCAGCAAACTAACACAGCACATATATACATATGTAACAAACATGCACGTTGTGCACATGTACCCTATAACTTAAAGTATAATTTAAAAAAAAGAAAAAATGAACTGGAAATTTCCACATAATTAAAAAAATTAGTGAGTAAGAAGCAAAGATAGAAAATGTTAGGCACAAAAAGGGTGGTAGTTTCAATCAGCACTTCATATATAATTCTGTAATCAGTAATAAAATGTTCAAGAAATAATCAGTGATGTGGGGTAATGAAGAATAATGGAAGAAAATGTTTTCATGAGTTGGGGTTAAGAATTTGGCAAATGTATCTGTTGATTAGTCATCTAAAATGGTGATAATAGATGCTATGGTAAAACATATCACAAGTTAACGTGTGTAAAGACATTAATCCATATAGTAAATTCCATAATGTGAGGGGATGTGATTGAAAACTCAGTAATTGAAAGTGAGAAGGCATGGTAATACCATAGCCATACAGTATGGAGTCCTCTTCGATGAAACTCAACCTTGTAAATTGAGAAGGAAATCTAGTGTTCTGGATAGAGAAAAGGAGAGCTCTCCTTTTAGGCTACCATACCTAAGGTATGGATAATGGGGGAGATAAAATACTCTCTGCTTGAAAAATTTCTATTACAGTGTTGTCATGGATATTTTATCTAATTTCCTTCTACTAAATTGATATTTATTCATTTATATTTATTTATTAAATGGATATTTTGTTCTATTAAAGCTTCTACCTTTATCAAATTACAGTCTATTCTTTCTTTATCCTGGAACCTGGTCATCTTTTATCTTCTCAAGGATTAATCTCTTAAATATCACTTTTATATTTTACTTTAAATATCTCATCTAAACATTAGATAAAGACAAGAAGAAACTTAAAGGAACATTATGGAAATGGTTTAAGACATGAGGAATTTTACTAACCGTAAATGTAATGTTATACAGAGCTGTGAAGATGGGGGAATTCCATGACATTAGTAATAACACAGTAATATGGGCATGGGAATCATTGTCATCGTGGTGGTATGGGAGGACTAGCTTTTTAAGGTGTTGGAAACAAACATGAATATTAAGCTTAATGGGAATAATGTTTCTTCTATAAGAAAAAGCATGCCAATCTGTTCAAATTATGAAACTGGGAACATGGCCTGGGGTGAAGTGTTGTCTTGAACTACCTGGGAGAGAATGGTGCAGAGTTTATGTGTGTGTGTGTACATGCATGTGTGTGATGTGTGCAATTTTCTGCATGTTTGGACAAATTACTAACTTTTTTGGCTCTAATAAGTAATGTAATAGGACTAGAAAAATATAAAAATCAAGGTTGTACTAATTTAATTTTCTCAATTAAATTTTAAAAAGGATATCAACTAGCAGCCCATCTCTTATATGAACAGATCAAAAAAAATCACAAAAAACCCTTCACAAAAAACCCTACACAAAAAGAGGAAAATTAATTATTAAGAGCCATAATTGCAAAAAGTCTTAAATGTTAATGAGTGTCATAAAATATTTATGAGTCAGATTCAAAAGGCATGCAGATTAAGACTAGAGGTCACAAAAGCCAATTAAGTAATTAAGAAATATCGCTGCAGAATACATTATATAATGTATCAAATGTTGTTATCATCAAAATGGTCCTCATAAAAAGTATGTGATTTGGGTTATAAATATTAATTACTTTTATACAAATATGATAAAAATTTAAAAGTAGGAGAAAAGTCTGCCTACTTTTAAAATAGAAACAAATATTTGATTTGCAAGAAATTCAGAGAGTTTAAAAAATAAACAGCTAGGACATACCAGGAAATGAATAAATGCCAGTACCTAATTCAAATATGAATAGAAAATTAATATAAAAATAAGCTTATTGAGTCAGAAAGATGGCCTTCTTTCCTGTCCTTAATTTTCTCTTTTAGAATATAAATTTCCTTTTTGGAATATAAATCACAGCTTTATATTCTGTGATTTTGCCCTATGCCCACAGCACGTTCAAGAATTGCCAGGCCCTCCCAATGTCAATGAAAAAATACGTGCAAAATCACATTTGTTGTTCTCATAGTGTTATTTCTCATACCCCCAAAAGGAATGTATTAGTCATTGGGAATGCTATACATATAAAGTAAATAAAATAATGAATAAATTTTGCTTTAGATGTATAAAGTTGTAGATATGGAGCATCCATATTTCTGCAACTTTATGAAACAATTTGCATAATTTTTGTAAATATTAAAGTCTTTTCAAATAAGGGGATGCAAATTATTGTTTATCCAATTATATTTCACAGGTTAGGATAATTCCTTAAGAAACTGGCTTATGACGTGTTACCCAGTAATCTATAATATTTTACAGATAATGTATTATTGAAGAAGTTTCCGATATGTTTAAATTTTCTAATTCTGCACATTTGTCTGTATGTCTTATATGCTGGTTTAGTTACACATCACTCATATGTAGTTAATTCCCTTTTTTATTTCTCAGCATTTGCCATACATGTGTAGAAGCAGAGCAAATACTTTTCAGCTAATGATAATTATGTCAATTGTTCAGCTACTGATACTTAAACAGCAGTACATCATTATGCATATTAAGCCACACATCATTATATCTGTTAGGACTGTAAAGCTGAAAATTTACTAAAAAACAACTAAAAAGTAGCTTGCCAATAAGATAGTCATTTATTCAAGTAACAAGTTTTATGGAAATAGGGTCAGTCCAAGTTTGGATAACTTAGAAAAACAGCAACATTTCAACCTTCTTTCTTTATCACTTTGCTGTGCAATCCTCAGAATGCCCTTCCAGTCTGTTTTTAATATGGTAGCATGCATATTTTGGGCATAGTGAAAATGTGAAAATATGAAAATATCTAAGAAAGAGAAGAGGATATTCCTGGTGAGTTCTACTTTTTTATCAGCAAAGAAATAAGTAATTTTCTAGGACTCTTCCATTATACTTTCAGGTTTTTAGCAAGAAGGGTCACTGACGTGGGGAGAAAAATAAAATAACAAAGGAACAGAAAAATCATCATTGTCCTAAGCAAATTATTTTGCAATCTTGATCTTAAAAAAGGGTCTTTCTTCTACAGCACACAGCCACTGACAATGAACTTTCATGAAAAATCATAGCTATATCAACAAGGACAGGATGAAGGGATAGAATAGAAAAGCAACCTCATTGGGTCATTAAAAATAAGCTATGTGTTTGTTATTGCTGTTTTTTAAAGGATCACTATTTTGGCTTGTATGGTCTAACCCAACTTGGCAGTTATCCCACTTACTTGCTTCTCACATTCTAAGAAACATTGTCTGATCACAGTTCTTGGAGGCTCTGGGTGATATTCATTGCCTTCACGGATTTTTACTTTGTTGGGTTCTAAATTGGAGAAAATGTTATAGCCTTCCATATCCCTAGCAAATTTAGAATTGAGGTCAAAATTACACTTACTGCCTAGCAATTCATACTTGAAAAGATTCAAAATTGAAGGGTCTTCCTCAGGAAGAAGAGAGGCTTGTTGAACTTACCCCACTCCATGATGGCAAAAAAGGAATAGGAAAATCACTTCGTTTTCATCATCATCAAGTACCGTTCATGATCCAGCAGGAAACAGTGGCCTTTGGTGTTGAGAAGAGCAATTTATAAATTGTAGACCATCTCAAAAAAATACTCCTTTTAGAAATGTGACAAGTTGATATTGTTTTCTCATTAGTTTCTCCAACTGTATTTATCACTTGTCTTTTGTGAAGATTTTATGGTGAGCAGATTGGTGAGCGGTACCGAAAAATGCTACCAGAGCATTGCTCCATCCTAAGTAGTAAAGAGATAGATCTTTATGTAAACATGAGAGCAAAGCAAAATGATTCATCATCATAAGTGATATAATTTTTACTTGATATTTTCAACCAGCTAATTGAAATTAATTTTATATTGCTTCCAAAATGCCCCCATTCATGCCATTTGTCCTTTTACATTTATTCCTGATTTATGAACACATTGTAAAAGCAGATTTCTTAAGCTATAATTTAAAGTGTACAATTTTGTGTTTTTGGCATATGTATAAAACTATAAAATTATTTCCACCATCAAAATGAAGCACATATCCATTATTCCCAAAAGCTACGACTGTGTTTGATTTTTTTCTAATTTGATTGTCTCCATAGGGCCATTTGTTTTCTACCCTATAACACCTTAATTCATTAATGTTAAATATCTTTTCAAATTTTATTGAGTCTCAGAATCCTTCTGCAAAATATGCCACCCCTGTATATAACAGTTACTCATTTGCTAAAGATGCATGAAACTAAGGTAGTTGATTCTCATTATTCACAATAGTAATGTTCTATAATAATGTTCTATACAGTTACCACAAACACTTAAATAAAAAATACTAAACTCTTGCTCCTAGAGGAAATATATACACACATATATACATACAAATATTTAAATAACTCACATAGATTATAACCTTGTCCTAAAAACAACCCTTTCCTGTAGAGTCTAATTTCTCTATTTGAAAAAAGAGAAATGAACAAAATTTCAGTTAGATAAGAGACATAAATTCAAGCAATCTTTTCCACAATATGATGACTATAGTTAATAACATACTGAAGCCTTGAAAAAAATGCCAAGACAGGATGGGTGAGGTGGCTCATGTCTGTAATCCCAGCACTTTGGAGAGCTGAAGCAGGTGGATCACTTGAGGTCAGGAGTTCCAGACCAGCCTGGCCAATATGGTGAAACTCCATCTCCACTAAAAATACAAAAATTATCCAGGCATGATGGTGCATGTCTGTAATCCCAGCTACTCGGGAGGCTGAGGCATGAGAATCACTTGACCCTGGGAGGTGCAGGTTGCAGTGAGCTGAGATCATGCCATTGCACTGCAGTCTGGGCAACAGAGAAAGACTGTCTAAAAAATTTAAAAAAAATAATTAAAAAAGAAAATATGCTAAGACAATTATACAAAATGTTCTCCCCCAAAAATGATAACTATGTGGGGTAATGCATATGTTAGAGTTAGTCATTCCACAATGTATACATACTTCAAAATATCATGTTGTCCATGAAGAAAACATACAATTTTATCCATCTATTAAAATATTTTTAAAGAGATATGAGGTTCACAAATTTTAGTGAGTAAGTGAATACACAAACATTACTTCACAAATAAGGAAGATAAACTGTGGTGTATTGAGGGGTCTATAAAATGCCACTAATAAAAAGCCATGTTGTAAGTAAAATGGCCAAAATCCATGGCAGTAACCCTATTTATATCACAACTGCTATACCACTTTCTATCTCTAGGATGATTACATAGCATCTCTTAGTGTATTACAGCTATCCCTATTGATCTTGAGTTTGTCACAGTCTTCACATTTTATGATTGACTTTATTGAGGCCAGACCCATTGCTAAGTATAGTGCCCAACCTAGAGCCTGCTTTTGTCCTTTGTTATAACTACTGTTTATGATTAAGCCCATGGATTACACAAGATGGTGGTCAAGATTATGATGATGATGATGATGATGTCACTTTTTAAAAGCATAGCAAATTAAATATTGTTATAATAGAAGCAAATGTCTCTTGGATAATTTCCTAATTAAATTAATTTTATATGGCCACATGAAAATTAATAGATACTTTTTTATTCAATATCTTTTCTTGAATTGTATATAAGCAAAAATGTATAAAATTAATGAGTCCATGCTGCTGAATTCATAAAAGTTTTTCTATAGATTTCAGATCACCCTACGGCTATGGAAAAGAGCAGTTAATCACTTATATGAAATCTTATTTTTGATGTAAATTGATATAATATTTTTCTACTTTATTAAACAGGAAAGTCATGGGACATTCCTATTTCTAAATAGAAATTAGGAGATAATAACTACATTTAACTTAGTACATTTCAGTGTGAACACCATTTTCATTTACACCACAAGCTATTATGACAATGAGTACAACCACCACAAAGGTGCAAAAGACTGCTTGTATATTTAGATAGTCCCGGGAGACTGGTGCCTTTTGTTGAGAACCACCATTCTGGACAAATTTATTTTTTACTTTTCTGTTCTTACATTTCTTGATCTCCCATCAGTACTGACAGAGTAAAACACTCAATTTTTGTAACTTTTTTCTGTCTCTCAGGAAATTGCATGTATTACTTCTCTTTTAATTTTCTTCTAACTCCCAATCATGGAATAACCTAAGGCCCTATTCTGTTCCTTTTGTTCTTCATCTAAACTGTGTTCTTAATTGATTTATTCTGTTGCATTTTAAATGGTAATTATATACTGATGATTCTTGTATTTATTTAGAGCAGAGCTTAAACCACTTCAGTAAAGAGATTGTAAAATAAAGTTGTTAAAGTAAAAGTGTATTTTTTAATCACCAAAAGTAGTTGAAACTGGATAGAGAGCTCTGATGGATAAGAAAATCCAGGTCCCAGGCAAGCAGAAGGGTGCACTTTCTAACTTTTGCCATGTGGCCAGTTTTACCATGCTATCAAGCCAGACAAAGATTTCATTGAAAAATGAAACTACAGACTAATATCCCTGTGACTGTAGATGCAAAACTTTTGAACGAAATACTAGAATCTCAATCCAACAACATATAAAAATAGTTGTGTACCATGATTATGTTAGATTGATACCAAGAATGCAAGGGTGGTTAAAAATAAGTAAACAGTCGATGTAAAATACCACATTAGTATAATGACGGAAAAAAGAAGATCACATGATTTTTTTAATTGATGCAGAAAAAGTACTTAACAACATCTAATAAACTATCATGATAAAACAGAAAACTATGAATAAAGGCAATTTATCAAATGATAAAGAGTATTTTTGAAAAGCCAACAGTTAATATCATATTTAATGGTGAAAGACTTAAAGTTTTCCCCTAACAGTCAGAAATGAGACAAGAATGCTCACTTTCACCACCTCTACTCAATGTTGTACTGGAAGTTCTAAAACTGAAAATTCTTAGAGAAAACATAGAAGTAAATATGCATGCCATTGCTTTTGGCAATGAATTGTAAATATGATACCAACAACACAAATAAAACAACCAAAGCATAGAAAAGTTGGGGTTCATCAATGAGATACTTTTTCGATCAAAGACGTTATCCAAAAAGCAAAAAGACAACCTACAGAACAGGGAAAATATTTTCAAGTCATGTAGCTGATAAGTCTAGTATTCAGAATATATGTATAAAGAAATCTCACAGTCCATCAGAGTGAGAAAGGAAAAGGGAATTTACATTCCAGCACTTTCACATTCTAGCACCTTGTGCACCTGGGCAGCCACTACAGAAGCCAAATCCCACACCCAACAGAACAGAGCTACCTCTAAGTTCAGAAGCAGTAGCTGAACCAAAGTGTCCATGGGTCTGGTTAGATCAGAGATGTGTTGCATCAGGAAAGTCAAGCTATCTGGCAGTGCCGGGAAATTAGATGACAGGAATGACAGGCTGGGCTGTTTACTGGAAATCATGCAAAAACTAGGTAACAAGCAAGGCTGAGTAAATTTGGGAAGGTGTGTAAATCTATGCCAAATATTTTACATCTTTTCATAAAGAATTGTGCATATTTCTATCAGGTATCTTGCTAATACTACAAAACTGGGTCTCTATTATTGAACATCAGTTATCTTAATTGTTCTCCAGATAGTCACAGAATCTTCTTCATAGTTATATGCAGTCACAATGGCCTAAGAAGTCTTCAAGAGTTTTGTGAATCAAGACACATTCTTAGTTCATGCAGTTGGTTTGGAGTCTAGACATGACATCCTTAACTTTTTCATGAACTCTGGTAGAATTGCCTGACTCTCATTCAGCCCTTCTGTAAACATGGTTGTTTGCCTGGTATGTTGGTCCTTTTGTCATAACTTTAGGGTCTGCATTTTTAGTTGCTTTGCACTCATTAGGCTTAGTTTGATGGAATTTCTCTTTGACAGCTGTAATTTTGTGCAGACTACTAAGCACTATTTAATCCCCCAGGTTCACATATACTCTACCTGTTTACTAGCATATATAAATCTTTTCAATAATCAGGTTCAAATACCACAGTATAATACAACTCAAATGCCACAAAATAGTAACTTTCTCATTGCTTGCTGGCTTACTCTCATGACTGTCCAAAATGGCCAACTCGTTTTCAGGGCTTAAATACAATGGGATCTTTAATGTGTTTCACTGTGGGTCCCTAATGTATCAAAGTCTAGATTTGCAGATATGGGATGTTTAGTCCAAAAAGGGGTATGTTTTATTGATGGCAAGAGGAAAGTCCGATTTCTACTTTCACGTGTTGATCCTCAGACCTGTGTATTTAGCTAATGAAAACAGCATCATATATCAGCTTTTGCTTCATTACACATCATATTCCTGGAGGCAATGTCCCATATTTAAGAGATGTCATTCCATATTTTAGCTGAATGTTTGCCAGTTTAACAGCATTTTATAACACAATCAGACTGCCTGCTTCTAGATAAACACACCCGTATATGACCAATGAAATGCATCATTATCAGTTTATTTTGGTATCTCCTTTGCTATAAA
This sequence comes from Homo sapiens, assembly GCF_000001405.40. Taxonomy (NCBI): domain Eukaryota; kingdom Metazoa; phylum Chordata; class Mammalia; order Primates; family Hominidae; genus Homo; species Homo sapiens. Next base: position 82,847,795 of record NC_000013.11, on the reverse strand, counting down.
ATGGTCTGAAGAACAATACTTGGCGATGGTTCAGGTATTTTGTAAGCCTTCAGGTGGTGCTGTTTTCCACCCGAGGCACTTAAGGGAAAGAAGAAAAATGCATGTCCAAAATAAGTGTGCATTCTGGGAAGGATGATTTACTACCACCCCACAGAACTTCCCCCAGGTGACTAGATAATCTCCCCCACAAAATGGTGTTCTAATAAATTATCTGCACTGGTCTTTTCTGGAATAATGCACGCAGCAGTGGCTATAGCTAGATCATTTTGGTGAGACAGAGCTCAGGTTTTGCAGCGTATGCTCTCTTTTTTCTTTATTTCTTTGTTTCTTTCTTTTTTTTTTTTTTTTTTTTTTTTTGAGACAGAATTTCACTCCTGTACCCCAGGCTGGAGTGCACTGGCACGATCTCAGCTCACTGCAACCTCTGCACAAGCCTCAGCACTTCTAGAGGGGCAAGAAGTGCTAAAATACTTAAAATGACATAAAACAGTTTTGTCATATTGATGAATATATAAAATCATCCTTTCTACATTAACAAACATCTTTTAAAATGTGTACAAGTTATTAAAAAACACCAACAACAAATATTTATATTGATTACTTGAGCATTAACAGGCAAACAAATAATTCTTGAAACACATATACATAATTTCCTCAATTCCTTCCTTCCTTCCTTCCCTCCTTCCTTCCTTCCCTCCCTCCCTTCCTCCCTCCTCCCTCCCTTCCTTTCCCTTCCTTTCCTTTCCTTCCTTCCTTCTTTCCTTCCTTCCTTCCTTCCTTTGTTTCTTCCTTCCTTTCTTCCTTCCTTCCCTCCTTCCCTCCCTCCCTTCCTCCCTCCTCCCTTCCTCCCTCCTCCCTTCCTCCCTCCTCCCTTCCTCCCTCCCTTCCTTCCTTTCCTCCCCTCTTCATTCCTTCCTTCTTTCCTTCCTTCCTTTCTTCCTCCCTTCCTCCCTCTCTTCCTTCCTTTCCTCACCCCTTCGTTCCTTCCTTCCTTCCTCCCTCCCTCCCTTCCTTCCTGCCTCCCTCCCTTCCTCCTCCCTTCCTCTCTCCCTTCCTTCCTTTCCTCCCCTCCCTTCCTTCCTTCCTACCTCCCTTCCCGCCTCCCTCCCTTCCTTTCCTCCCTTCCTTCCTTCCTTCATTCCTTCCTTCCTCCCTCCCTCCCTTCCTTTCCTCTCTCCCTTCCTTCCTCCCTCCCTTTCTTCCTGCCTCCCTCTCTTCCTTTCCTTTCCTTTCCTCCCTCCCTCTCTCCCTTCCTTTCTTCCTTCTTTCCTTTCTTACTTCCTTCCCTCCCTCCCTCCCTCCCTTCCTCCCTCCCTTCCTTCCTTTCCTCTCTCCCTTCTTTCCTTCCTTCCTCCCTCCCTCCCTTCCTTTCCCTTCCCTTCTTTTCCTTCCTTCCTTCCTTCCTTCCTTCCTACCTTTGTTTCTTCCTTCTTTCCTTCCTTCTCTCTCTCTCTCTTTTTTTCTTTCTTTCTTTTTTTCTTTTTTTTTGAGACAGGGTTTCACTCCTGTACCCCAGGCTGGAGTGCACTGGCACGATCTCTGCCTCCCAGGGTTCAAGCAATTCTTATGCCTCGGCCTCCCACATAGCTGGGATTGTAGGTGTGAGACACCATGTCCAGTCTGATACCTTATTACGTTTTTTATTATGTGTATTTTTATGGCCATTATTATGTGTTGCTCTCTTTCTGAAGAGTGTTTTTTTAATAACTTGTTATTTTGTATATATTTTCTTTTTATAGAATTGTCAGCCTTCTTATTTCATGTTACATTTGATGGTTAATGAGCATGAGATTATGGATACTTTCAATTGACTTGTTTTCTTAGAACTTAATATTTTAGTCATCTCTTTTGCGCTATAAATTTTATATGATAAAATATAAATGCTTTTAGTGTATAGTTCATTGAATTTTGATAAAATATACCATGTATAACCAGCACCATATTCAAGATGTAGTACATAAGCATAACCTCAGATAATTCCCTTGACATCATTTATTTATTTATAAATCTGCTTTCCTCTATCACCATGGCAACCATTAATATGGTTTATATCTCCATAAAGTAGGTTTGTCTGCTCTAAACCTTACATATAAATTGAATAATATAGTATGCACTCTTTGTGTCTGGATTCTTCCACTAGGCATTTAAAAAATATTCATTCATTTTGCAGAAGGTAGAAGGGCTTCATTCTTTTTATTGTTGAGTAATATTTTGCTATGAAATTATATGAAAGTGTTTATTCAAATGTATATGGGCTATTGGTTTGTTTTTCAGTTTCTGGCAATTATGAATAAAGCCACTGTAACTATTTGTCTCTAGACTTTATAAGGAAATAGATTAGGTAAAATACTAGGATTTGTTATTTTATATGGTAAGCAGGCAATTAATTTTGTAACAAAATGCCAATCTGTTTTCATAAGTGGTTTTGTGGATTTGCATGTGGATTTGCATATCATAGGAAATGTTTGAGAGTCTAGTGACTCTACATTATGAAAACGTGGTAATAACAGTCTTTTATATTTTACTCATTCTAATGGGTGTACAGTAGTATACAATTATAGTTTCATTTTTCATAGCCTTTATTACTAATGAATCTGAGAATCTTTCCATGAGTTTACTGTGAATTCATGTTTGCTCTTTTTTTGAAGTTTCTTCTTCTAATTGTGTCGTCTTCCTATGATTGAGTTTAAATTTCTTAATATTGCCTGGATATTATAAATGTGTCATATATTTGTATTATACATATATTTCCCTCCCTGTGATTTATCTTATTTCTTAACAAAGTCTTTTGAAGGCCAGGTTTTAATGTTACTTAAATCAGATTTATTATTTCTCCTTTTTGGTGGGTTTTTCAGTGTTCTGTCTAAAAGCCTTTAGAATACCCTAAGGAAATGAATATTTTCTCTTTTTTTTTCTTCTGGAAATGTTGTTTTAGTTTTTAGATTTAGACCTGTAATTCATTTTAATATATTTGCATGTTGTGTAATCTAACAGTTGTAATGATTTTTCTTTTCTGTATGCTTTCTTAAGACTATCCTTTCCCATACACTTGAATGATATGCTTGCCAAAAATCAGTTTCCCATATATCAACTGATGGATCAATTTCTGTACAGTCTATTCTGTTCCATGTTTATGCATGTATACTTTATGCCAGAGCCCATTGGTTTGATTTTGTAGATTTAGAGTATGTCTGGAAATCAGTTAGTGTAAACATTCAATTTTATCTACTTAACAAAATTGTGTTGGTCAGATGTCAGACTCAGTTCACTCTCTTTTACATAAATCTGATGGATTTTGATTGAATAAATCTAAAAATAAATTTAAGGAGCACACACATTTTAAAAATGCTTAGTCTTCAAATTCATGAACATGGTGCTTCATTAATTGGGTTTTTCAATATTTTAATCCGTCAAAAATTAAAGTTTTGATTATGAATTCCTAGTTCATTACACGTATTCCAAAGTATTTCATGTTTTTGATGCTATATCAAATGATAACATTTGGTAAATTTATTTAGATAAAGTAAAATTATGAAGTAATATATTTAAAGTAACTACTAAATAGCAAGTAATTATACAGAACTTTTATGTTCTTGACAACTCCCGAAGCATATTATTTATGTAAGCCTTATTATGATTGTATAGGTGGATTCTACTGTTATGGTTCTCCGTTTCTTTTACCCACCAGGAAACTGAGGCTTTGAGAAAGTAGGATCTTGGTGAGAATTTTATTTTTTTAGCCACTCACTTAGCTTTGCCTAAGTTTAGTAATATTTCTGGATGTTTTGATCCTGCAAACTAAAAAATTTCTTCTTTTTAAATTAATTCCAATCAATATAATTGGATTTCTTTGTACTAAAAACTGGAAAAATCTTAATGTACAAGGAGGTACATTTTTTAAGGACAGTCAGTAAGTGAGACAGATCTGGAAGTGTGGTGTTAAAGCATATTGTTAGAAGTGATGGCAGAGGTAGATTTAGAAATGTGTCTTACAGAAGAATATTTTTATATTCACTGTATCATATTGCCTTTCTATCTTTTACTTTTTAATTCTAGATATCACTGGACTCTCATTTTCTATGTAATATATTAACACAAAATAAACATTGTAAAAATTTTGAATATAATGTCTAGTTGTTTTGTATTTCAATATTTTAATAATAGCTGAAATGAAATTAACTTGAAATAAGGTTAGCCCATAAATACAAACGCAAAGAATATAATTTTCCCACATTTTTTCTTTTCACAAAGCAGTACTACAGTATAATAGCAAGGTTTTTTATGAATTCTATAAAAATTTGCTTAAATGATGTTGGGAACGTTCTTCTTTAATATTATTACCTTTACACATATTTTAATATGTGAGAATTAAAGCAAGGAATACTTTCCTTTTTATGTGTTAACTCCCAAAGTACTAAAAATAAATTATAATTTGAAATTAAACTTTTCATATTTCTATGCAGCATAGAGTTTTACCCCAATGAACTTAGAATGTAGTATGTTCAGTTTCCTAAATAGTCACTTTAATAGTATATGGAATAGTCCAGAAAACCTAACTCCAATATAAGCTAAGCAAAACAATGCATAGATAATAGTTTTCCTATTATTTATTGTTTAAGGTAACCAGAGTTTGTTAAGCAATACAATGCTCTACCGAGCACCCCTCCTACATACATAGCAAATTTTATAATACATATCAGCCTGTAATGGAGGCTTCTAACAAAGAAACAAAAGTTTTGACCTACATGTCATATCAACTAAATACCTAAGTTAAATATGCAAAATGTTGCCAGTGGCAATTTTTCTTTCTGCATTGAGGCATAACTTCAATAACATCTGTGTTTTAAAAATCCATAGAAATGAATTTGTCACAGTAAAGGAAATTAAGCAAATTATGAAAATTATCTGTCTAGTGCTTGACATTATAAATAAGAGTCTTGTATAATTAGTGTCATAGATACATTTCCAAGTTCATGAACGTCTAACTGAATGAATCTATTCCTATGTCAAAAATGATGGTCTCTTTGTGACTTATGACCAGTTTTGACCTCTAGTATGTAGGGTCCTGTATCTTTTGACCTCTGTCTCTCTTTGCATCACCTCTTCTATCACTGCCCTACAGCTTTCTATTCCTCCTGCCCTCAGCCAAGTTTCTTTGAATGTGTTTTTTGTACCCACAGGCCCTTGCAATGACTGAAATGGTTTTACTTCTGCTATTTCTGCACAATCTTTCCCAATTTAACTGTAATTTATCCTCTCATCTTGACCCAAATATTACCTCCCCTTGGAAGACTCTTTCACTCTTTAAACCCAACCCAAGTCTTTTACTATCTGTTTTCAAAGCAACCTGTCACATTTGCAAGCTTTGTGATTGCTTGATTGATATTTATCTACCCCACTGATAACTCTAAGTTACACTAATTATTAGCACAATGTTTCACTCATAATAGTCTCTTTATAATTTTTTTAAATTTACTTTTTATCTATTTTCAATTTTCATAGAGATGAGGTCTCACTATGTTGCCCAGGCTGGTCTCAAACTCTTGGCCTCAAGAAATCCTCTTACTTCAGGCTCCCAAAGTGCTTGGATTACAGGCGGGAGTCACTGTGCCCAGCCTGTAAATATTTGTAAGTGGGTTTTTGTTTGTTTGTTTGTTTGTTTTTACTTTTTATTGATTTATTTTTTAAGAGAGTGTCTCACTCTGTTGCCCAAGCTGGAGTGCAGCAGTGCTAGCATAGCTCACTGTAACTCCGGGCCTCAGGCAATCTTCCTGCCTCAGCATTGTGAGTAGCTGAGACTACAGGAGTGTGCCACTACGTTCAGCTATATTTTTTATTTAATTTATTTATGTATTTTTTTTAAAAGACAGGGTCTCACTATGTTTCCCAGGCTTGTCTCAAAGTCCTGGCCTCAAGTGATCATTCTCCCATCTCGGACTCCCAAAGTGTTGAGATTATAGGCATGAGTGACTGCACCCAGCCCACAAATATTTGTTAATAAAGAAATGATTGTAATGCAAGCCTTAAATTATTAATTGGCATAACAAATCACACAATTGCTTATGTCAGAATCGAGAGACATTGGTACCTCTTTTTCCTTTCTCAGCATCTCTAAGCAACAAGTTCTGTTAATTATAACTCTAAGATATTTAACACAATATAAATTTCCATTTGTCCCACATCTTTATTTTCTAACATAATCTCTCATCTGGACAATTGCAATTTCTTCCTAATTCTTTTAGTAACATTTTCTTTATATCTCTATAATCCATTCTCCATACAACTCTATACATGATTTTTTAAATAACAAGCTATTTTATATCCTCCTATTTTTTTCAGTGAAGACTCATTCAATTAACAACTGTTTTAACATTTTTAAAAATATTTAATGATTTTGCATTATCCTTATCTTAAAATCTTAAATGTTGAATTATCCTGACCTATCTTATGACACTCTTGCACATGCCATATGGGTCTTCTTTCTAATAATTTACCAAGTTTTTGTTTCTAACTCAAACCATTCATACTTTCTGTTTCCTCTGCCACAGACATCTTTCTTTTTTTTTCACCCTTCCAACACTCTCAGCCCACTGTCAAACTACTATGTATGTCTGACTTCTCACACTAAATGAGATCATCTGACTTTTAAGTATGTATTTAATAGCCAAATTACTTCTGGAAGCCTCGCTTGCCTCCTTAAGCTGGCATCCATCTAGCTATAGTCCTTGTCTTCTATACTGAAATTGAAATAGTATAGAAATCATTTATAGAACACTTTTTAAATTTCACATGTATGGGCAAATGATCTTAAAGTTACCTTAGATAAACATAATCTTATATTTTGTGAAAATATTTTTTTCACTTCTTTGTATATCCTCTAAGAAATGTTGCATTTTTTTCTGTGATAAAACTTTCAGGCAACAAGAAGTTATCACTACAATGTCATTAGATTCCTATTTTCATTTCTGTATAAAATATCATAGCAAAGACACTCAAAGATGTCCACAAGCATTGAAACTATCTATGTGGGTCTACTTAAATACATGAGTTCCTAAAAGCAGAGAACCTTCCCCTGCTGAGGTAAGAGTCAGAGAATGAGATGTGACTATGGAAGGAGAGTCAAAGAGATTCACCTTTTCTGGCAAAGAAGACAGAAGAAAGGGCTCATGAGTCAAGGAATGCAGATGTCCACTAGAAAAAAGAAATTCTTCAGCCAGTGGAAGGAGATTTAGGTCAGAAACATGCATTTACGTAAACAAGGGAAAGTGATATAAAAGGAATAAATGAAGGCAAAACAAAATGTTTTATTAT